>NW_019805489.1:0-197752 GCF_000001405.40 Homo sapiens
ATGTCAGCTGTGGTGGTGGTGGCAGGTTGGGTGAATCCGATCTCAGGTCCCCAAGAGGAGTGCTCAGATACCATCAAAGGTGGATGGGGCAGCAGCAGCTGTGTTGCAGCCCTATTTCTGGTGAATGTGGGGCTTCTTTTAGTAATAGTAGCTGTAGGTAGGTGGCTAGGGAGCATGTGCTTCAGCCCCAGGTGGTGGCTGTAAGCAAGATAGCTTATCCTCAAGGTGCTTGGATAAATAAAATGTGGTATATATGCACAATGGAATACTATTTAGCCATCAAAGAAATGAAATCATGTCATTTACAGCAACAGGGGTGGAACTGGAGGTCAATATGTCATGTGAAATAAACAAGGCATAGAAATATAAATATGCGTGTTCTTACTCATATGTAGGAGCTAAAAAATTAGTTTATATCATGGAGATAGAGAGTAGAATGATAGATATCAGAGGCTGTGGGTAGAGGTGTGGTGGGCGCCGGGGGGATGAAGAGAGGTTGGTCAGTTGGTACAAATACATAGCTAGATAGAAGGAATAATTTCTAACATTCAGTATCAGTGTTGGGTGATTATAGTTAACAACAATGTATTTCATATTTCAAAATAGCTGGAAAAGAGGACTTGAAATGTTCCCAATGTACAGAAATAGTAAATACTCAAGGTAATAGATACCCTAAATACCCTGACTGGATCATTATACATTCCATGCATGTAACAAAATATCACATGCATCACCATATATATGTATAAATATCATGTATCATTAAGAAATAACAATAAAAATTGTCCAATATTTTGACATCTTTGTATGTTTGCATCATCTTTTGAATGCACGCTTACTTTCTGACACAGTACAATGTTTTAGGCTTATCTTGTATTTTCTCCACTCATACCTAGAGTCAGCCATTTCTCCAAAAATCTCTAGATCCTTTTCGTAGAAAAAGATATTTAGAATCAATATCTGGGTGCTAGACTTATTGACTATTGTTGCGTGTTTTAAGTCCTCTCGATGGACAAAGCTAGATTAGGTAGATTAGATAGACAGATAGATAGATAGATAGACAGACAGACAGATAGTAGAGGTAGCAATCCATATTTATAGATACTGATAGCTTCAATTCCAACCCAGCTTGTATAAGGTTTATTCTGCTTTTTCCCTCTTCCCTATTTGTAACTCCCCTCACCAACAGTGAGAGACATGGCTCTCATGATGATCAATGTATCTATTCATTTGTTTATCTTTCCCCCTCAATCGACCACCTCACTTCACCTACCCCCTATAAGAAATCTATCTTATTTATTTATGGTTTGTCTATTCTGTGTTTCTTTTGGTAGGAAATAAGCATATACACATATTCTTCTTATTTATCCTTTGATTTTACATAAAATGCAGCATACTATAAATATGCATTTGTACTTTGTTGGAGTTTTTTTCCCCACTTGAAAGTTATTCTACAAATCACTCCACATCAGTTCTTAGAGACTGACAATGGTCAGATTGTCCAGAAGCAGGTACTGAGAGCAAGTTTGGTTTGCAAGGGTTTTATTAATGATCAATACCTGTGGAAAACAGGGAGCACAGCAGGATTGGATAAAGGGAGAAATGGAACTCCCTTTGTGTTCCACTTTGTGTTATTGGGACCGTCAAACCACACCTGAAGATACGACCTATCAGACTTGTTCACTGGTAGTCCAAATGGCCCGGTCTGTATGCCGTTTCTGCAATCAGTCATTGGAAGTGTGCCTCCCCCAGAACGTTGTGCCGTTGTGTGAAGACTGGATGACTGAGGCAAACCCTGAAAATCTTAACAGTGGGAAGCTATCTGCTGACAGAACTCACAGCAGCTGAGACAACAGGCTCTCTCTTGACAGGATGGGGCATCACAGTGGAACATCTGGACAAAACCTCACCACGTCTACCGCGTCTACTGAGTTAGAAGGGCTAGAGCTGTGCTGTCCAATATGATAGCCACTAGCCATATATGGCTATTTAACTTTAAATTAATTTAAATGAAATAAAATTTAAAAGGCAGCCATACCAGTCATATTTGAAGTGTTTAATAGCCAATATGGCTTTACAGAGAATTTCTGTCATCAAGCAAAATTCCGTTGGAATGAGTGCTGCAGAATAAATAGATGTCTAAAACAGTGTGATGTTTGAAAAAATTCGGTGGTTATAGATCATCCATGAGATAGTATCTGCACCTAATCTTGATAACTGAGGATTGTTTGCATTTTTTACCATTTGAAAGTTGTATTTACAAAGCAGACTCTAAGAACCACATGTTAGGTATGCTTCATGAATTCTTTTATGGTTTAGTGTTGAACCAAAACATAGATGAGTGCTCCTAAAGTAAATATTTTCTATTTTTAGAATTCTCTGAAGAGTTTTTGAATTTTAAGTATGTAAAAATAAATCTTGTAATGCCACTTTAAAGTGTTATTGCATTTACTTCAAACTGCTAGCATTGTAAATTTCAGTACCATACAATTTCATTTGAGAGATGTGTCTTGTATGAAAAATTGTGTTGCACTTTTATTTGCCTATCAACAGCCACTCAGTTCCTAAATTTTTCAGTGAGAATTAAAAAAATTGAATCTCTGGAATATTATGTTTTTTTGAGAGCAAATCATCTAAGTGTTAGAGTTGAAGAGTATAAATGTGGACTATTTTTAAGTAAATTAAAAGTGAGGCTTTGGTCGCTCTTTTAAATGTGAAAATAGCTCTGTCTGCTGGAAACGTGTCAGGTAATTAACTTTCTTTCCCTGACACTGCTCATTGAGTAATGAGCAGTGACACCACCTATATATTTACAAAGATTGTGACTTATATACGTGCATACCCCTCCATATGATTATTGAATACCCTCGCTGCTTCCTTTTGGGTACAGGGCCTCCCGAAAGCCTTTCTGAAGCTTCTTTTTTTTTCCACCTTCCGTTCTCTTTAATTCCTCAGGCCATTATTTGCTAACATTTACAAAAGTATCTGCAGTAAATTTGTTAAGGAAATGGAGAATCCAACTAAGCTACACTACAGATTTCTTTACTACAAAACTATTAGACTTATTATTATTGTAATGTGTTTTCAAGTCTCTAAAAGCACTACAGTCTGTAAAATCTCCCAAATGTATCTAACCACGGAGTCATTTTTGAGGAATATCTGGAATTACTACTACACAGTCAAACCTACTGTGGGATTGCTGGCATGAAATATCTGGCCTTCCTGCTACGAATCCTTCTCCAGTTTTATGCCCCAACATAGAAATGTATGGTTTGTACCTCAGCTTTTGCAGATTTTGTAGCTTAAGATGTGTAAAAAGTAATACAGAAAGTAGGAAAGGGCAGGGCTGATTAGATCACATGGTGATGGCAAAGTATACACCTGCAGGTGCACCTGCTTATGAGTCAGCAGGAAACAAAACAGCCAGCAACAAAAAATAATCTGGTTGATTGTTTAACAATTGAAGTTGTAATTAGATTTATAATTGAATTTTTGGTATAGTCTAGAGTCTGGAAAATCAGTGTATCCCAACTAATCTTTTCCTCAGCATGATCTGTTCCAGTTCATTGCTAACCATGTTCAAAAGTCTGTGTTTTTTAAACACAAATTTGAACAAACCTCTTAAACAGCCTTCTCTAACCAGTCCCTTGGGTGATTTTTCCATTTCAGTGACAGAATAGAAAATGCAATTTTATCTTGGAAAAAAATGATAAAGTGACAGTTTTTATGATAATACAGATACGCACATTTTCAAGCAATAGGCTGAAAAGATAATGTGCTTTAGGCAATTATTTCTAGAATACATCTCATTGAAATTTTTCACCTGCTCCACAAACACACTTAAGTTGTTACCATGGTATCTCTTTGAAAGTCTCTGTCATTTCAATATTCCAAGAAATTGGAATTACAATTCTTATGTAATTGGAATTACATAAGACAATTACATATTGTCTTATGTAATTACTGATAGCAACCCCTTTTACTCTCAAAAGAGTCTTGGTTGGTCTGTGTATTAGGTGGTAAGGTGGTATTAGGTCTAGGTGGTATGGTGGTCCTATTTAGAGTCAGACTAAGATTTCTTGATATATTTGACCATGGAATCCATGTGATATTCAGTCAAGAGGTGTTCTTGGCTGAGTTATCTTTTCAAAATTAATATGTTCAGTAAACTCTAGCCCCTCAGAATAGGATTGTATTTGGAGATAGTCTTTTAAAAGCCAATGAAGTTGAAATGAAGGCATTGGGGCATTTCCCAATCAACCATGACTGGTGTTCTAATAAAAAGAGATTAGGATACAGACAGACTTGGGGGGGCCATGTGAAGCACGAACAAAATATGGTTATCTACAAGGCCAGGAGAGAGCCCCAGAAAGAAACCACCCCTGCCAATACCTTCATCTTGAACTTATAGCCTCCAGAATTTTGAAGACATAAATTTCTATTGTTTTAAGCATCTCACTCAGTATTGTTCTGTTATGGCAACCCTAGCAAACTAATACAAAAACAAACAAACAAACAGCTTCTTTGACTTTATCATATAAAGTACAGAAGAAAGATTTACAATTTTTCAGCATGCTCCTATTTTCACCATCTTCTAGAAGAAAAACAAAGAAATGCTGACTGTAGCAACTATTAGATGTTTCACTAGTCTCTGTTCCTGATTAGGTGTAAGTAACCTGTTTTGGTTAATGCTTTGATATTCATTTGGACAAGTTAGTATAACGAGTAAGAGCCTAGCAAACTACGATGAGAGTGGTGTATGGAAACCCTGCCTAATAATTCAGTTCTGTTCTTCTCCTTCACAGAACAAACTGAACTTTCACAGCTTTTACACTAGTAAAGCAATTAATGAGTTTTTAGATACACCAAGCTATGTCAGGAGTGTGGTTCTGGTATGGAAGACTAAATTGTCATGCTTTAGGAAGTCGTGGGAATCTGAGAGTGAAGGTACAGGAGGAAGAGATTTATTTTAAAAAGAGAGAGCTGGGAGTGAAATCGCTGGTGTTTAGCTGACCCTAAGAGAGGATATGGCCTAAATGAAAATCCATGCGATGGGAAGAATCTGATCCATTTTAAGCATTGTGATGGTTCATATTCGATTTTAAATTGTTACCTCTTTTGTGAGTGATCCCAAACCTTTTTTTAAAAGCCTACTGAAGACAATGGGTCTATATTAAGATGCTGCAGGGCGGTATAAAAAGGCCAAGATTTGCATGAGAATAAGGAGATAGGAGTTGGGGACAACTTTGCCATTGGTTCTGCGTAGGTCCCCGTCCCTGTGAGGAAATTATTAAACATTTATCAGGACCCCAGTTTTATAGCAACAGAGGCACCAGGAAGGTTGTCAATTTAGGAGCAGCAGAGAATTATAAAAATACAAAAACCAAAAAAAAAAAAAAAAAAAACACCACAAACACACACACACACACACACACACACACACACACACACACAAACAAACAAAACACCAGGAACTGAGTTCCAGAACTGATGTGAAGAGTTTAGGAACTCTGGCAAAACCACCCACTAAAGTGTGAGCAGGAGTGCAAGAGTTCCTTGAGTTTCCCTGAAATAAAGTTAGGATTGGTACTATCCTTTGGCTGGGGCTGAGCCTCTTGGGCACCTCTCAAGTCAAGTGAGGTGAAGAAGGAGGCGAGTTCAAGAAAGTGAGTGACTCATCACTTGAGCTGCAGGACTAGCAATGCTGCACAGAAGGGAGGGAAGGCAGCAAAGTAACAGCATTGGTGTTGTACAGAGTTGAAGAGCAGCAATTAGAAACAGGGCAGGAGGAGTTTGAAAGCGTCACTGAAACAAAGCCTCCAGTGCAGCCTCTGGCAATACAGCAGAACCCTGAAGGAGTGGGGAACAACTGCGGCAGGCACACTGTGCTGGCACGCAGTTCAAAGCCATTCTTCAGCAGACTTGAGGAGGATAAAGTTAAATCTTGGATTTAATATTGCAAATAGTGACAGTCACATCAAACATTGTCTAGAATCACTAATCGAAAGATAGAGAGCCTGTGTGAAATAAGTAGGTTGGACAGGAGGATCCTGCTTTAGGTATCTTCTAGCTTGGAATTGTTAGGTTCCATCGGCTGAGTGCCATGTGAAAAGTTTCAAAGGTCCTACGTTGTTTGTTTTTCCTCTCTTTTTAACTCCACTGCTGTGTGCCAATAATGATTCACAATTTGAGATTTCTATCACTGGAAGGGATCTTAGAGGTTATAAATACAATCTGTTCTGTATAAAAATAAAGAAATACAAGTCTCATCTCTTTAATTCCACAATGAAATACCTGAGTTCATGAATGATGTCTTATATTTGTCTTTAATTCTTTGTGCATCTAGCTTGATAATGAGGACATACTAGTCCTGAGCAAAAGAATGAATATGAGAATGGGCACAGAATATAAGTGGTGTTCATTACATAAAGTGCTGACGGCTTTGAGAAATGTGCCCTCTTCCCAGAAAACTACATGTAACATACTTTTAAAATTGCCTATAATTTCAGAGGACTCATGGATACCCTAGACAAAATATCTTTTGATATACCCCTTTCAGACCTTATCCATTACCTATCTGGATAGACACTATGTTCAGAGATAAAAGAAGTAAAATATAATTCTGGGGATGAATTTCTCTTGTGTAAAAAGGCTCAAAACTAATAAGGAAATGTGTTAAAATCTGCACACTGAGATGATATTTCAGGAAAGAGTTGTACCATTTTCTAAAAGAGATATAACCTCAACACATCATTATTTAAAAGTCTGTAATTTAGTTACATTGATAATTATTTTTAGGATTTTGAGAGTTTCATGGGTGTGGCATATGATATTCACTGTTACTACTAACTCTCTAATCAGTTTATTTTCTCTTCCCTGAGCCAAGAACTAAACAGGATAGGAACCATTTTGGTAAATTTAGCTCAAAAATTTATATTTTCACTTAGCAGGTTGTATAAGTCATAGAAGAAATGTTACAAATTTTCTCTTGTTAAGTATAAGGAATGCTACAAATTTATAAATGTTCGATAACTATGATATAATTAGGATGGCTATAAAATCACATCTGAATATAATGGGATATTGGTGAAATATGGCTGTCTTTTCCTAGATCATACTTTTTAGTGCCCAGGATGACCAGATGATTCATATCAGGATGGAAAACAAGGACAGAGATAAGTGAGATGTATGATATCTCTAAATTTGCACTCTATTTACAGCTGACAGATGGGATAGGAGCCCTCGATTGCTGGGATAATGCCCACTGGTACCTCCTGACACTTCTCTACTAGAGGAATGTCTATGGGACCTAGATCAAGTTGGACAGCTCCTTGTCCCCTTCTCAGTTCTACAAAGAGAAGGCAGTTCTCAGCAGGGAGTGTTGGGAGTAGCTTTGTGGCAGCATGGCTTCTTCAACTGGCCCTAGAGTTATGAAAGCAAGCCCCTGCCACAGTTAAGATGCTCATCATCAATTATTTGGTAAGGATACAGATGCAATTAACATGATCATGGCTTCTTTCTTTCCTCATGATGTGTATCTGCTCCTTAAGAATGACTTCCTTTGTTTGATCAATAAGCATTTCTCAAATGACCATAAGAGAAGCACAAGGAGACAAAACAAAGAGTCCCTCTATTGGAGAAGCCAAAGATCCAGAAGGACAGAGATACATAGTGTTAACAGTGAGTTCAGAATAGAAGAATAAGATGTTACAGGAATGAGATTCGGCTGAGGTGGACATCTTCCTTAGCCTAGAAAATCCATTTCCAAGAAAGTGTGACTTCAACTAAGGTTTTTTTTTTTAATGAGATATGATTCACATACCATAAAATTCACCATTTTAAATACTGTTTTTTGTAGCGTATTCACAGAGTTCTGCAAAAATCATCACTAATTCAACCTATTTTCATCACTCCCAAAAGAAACTCTGTACGCATTAGCAGTTGTTCCCCATTCTCTCCTCCCTCCAGCCCCTGGCAACTACTAATCACTGCTTTCTATAAATTCCCATACTCTGGATGTTTTCTATAAATGGAATCATACAATGTGTGGTTTTTCATGACTAACATATTTTATGTAGCATAATACTTTTAAGATTCATTCATGTTGTAGCAGGTATCAGTACTTTATTTCTTTGCATGGCTGAATACTATCCCATTGTGTTGATACACCACGTATTGTTTATCCATTTATCAGCTGATGGACATTTGGTCTTTTTTCACTTTTTGGCTGTTACAAATAATCTTATTACAAATATTCACATATACGTTTTTGTGTGAACATATTATGCTTCTGATTCTCTTGGGCATGTACCTAAGAGTAGAATTGCTGGGTCATGTGGTAACTTTGTATTTAGTTGTTTGAAGAACTGACAAACTGTTTTCTATAGAGGATGCACTGTTTAAAATTCCCACCAGCAATATATATGAGATGTCCAAGTTTTCTATATCCTTTCTGTCACTTGTTATTTTTCTGTTGTGGTTTGTTATTTTTTAAAATTATAATAATCCCAGTATGACCCATTGTGATTTTTATTTTGTTGCCTATGCCAACATCATAGACATTTACACCTATGTTTCCTTCTAAGAGTTTTGTAGTTTTAGCTCTCACATTTAGGTCATTTTGAATTAATTTTTGTATATGGTATGATGTAGGAGTCCAACTTTATTCTTTTGCATGTGGATAGCAAGTTGTCTCAGTACTGTTTGTTGAAAGATTATTCTTTTCCCATTGACTCTCTTGGCATTTTGTTGAAAATTATGCCAATTAAGCATAGATGTATGGGTTAATTTATGTATTATTTCTATTCATATTGATCTATATGTCTGTCCTTATACCAGTAATACACTGTCTAGGTTACTATAATTTTGTAGTAAGTTTTAAAATTGCTAAGAATGAGTTCTACAACTTTGTTCTTGTTTTGATAATTCTTGGTCTCTTACATTTGCATATGAAGCATCTACTGTTTTAAAAGTCTTTGATGAAATGCTTTTAAAAAGAAGTGTCAGAAAAAAATATATATGAAGTCTATACATGTGATAGGTTTCAGATAAGAAGCTACACAATCACAAGCACTGAGATAAAAGGAGCAGGTACTTTGTGATTACTTGTGGGTGGAAAGTAGGATGGGGAGTTATGTGAGATAAGGATAAAATAATAAGCTGAGTCAGACCACAAAGCATCTGATCCTTAGGCAGCATTTTAACCGATAGGTAGTGAGCATTATTAAAGTTGATGACAATCCTTGTTGTTTCAGTGTTAAGCTGATTACTCCCTCCTGGCATTTGCCAAATATTGCGTGTGTGTGTGTGTGTGTGTGTGTGTGTATCACTATCTCAAATAATACAGAGCTACATTTATACAAAGTGAATCAAGTCTCCGGAGGTGCTCTGGATATTTTATAGTTAATTTTCTAATGTAGATGTTCAAACAAACTGTAATAGTGACTCTGACTTTCTTAAATTATGGCAATGACTAAAAAATAGCAATAAATCAAAAGAAAAATGCTTTCCATTATTTTTATTACTACCTTCCAACTTCCTTTTATGTTTCTTTGTTTCTGTTTTGCTGCCTAATCAAAACTTCACAACTGGTATTGTCCTCAGATACAGCTTTTCATCATGTCCAATGTTTGATCACCCAGGGTGAGGGAAGCTGTGACTTATACTTTAATCCTTTTGGAAAAGTCTAATACAATATGGTACCAATCAGTTACATGTGTCGCTTTAGTGTAGTGAAATTTAGCATAATATTTCTTTTAGATACCCCAGATTGAACAATAGTTTTAAAAGTTTAAAAACACATTTTCTGTAGTATGCATAAAAAATTCTGAGTAGTAGAATTGTGTTAATAAGAAATAGCAGCCACTATTCTTTCTCTCAATAGTCTCATGCCAAATAACTTTCAAAGCAGTATATGCTTTGGGAAGTATAGAATTTTTCTATTGTGCACATTAAAAAAATGAAATTAGATGAATTATAATACCTTTCCCCTCTACCTACAATACATTGCCTGGTAATTTTTCTTAACAAACTATATATAGTTATTAAAACCCTTTGCTACAGCAGTAAATGCTTTGGCATATATAGAGTTTCTCCATTGCACACATGAAAAAAAATGAAGTTGGATGATTTAGAACACTTTTCCTCTCCACCTGTAATGCATTTCCTTGTTATTTTTCTTAACAAATTATATGTAGTAATTAAAGTGCTTTGCTATAGAAATTACAATACCTTAAAAAACTTTCTGAATTGTGTTGATGTTCACCTTGACAGCCAAGAAACCAAGAAAAGATTAAATTATGGAAATTAAGCAAGGACACTTAGACAGATCCTTCTACAATCTGCATTTCTTTGGTGATTTCTAGTTCACTGCGCCACCTGGTCTTTCATGCATTATGTGTAAGTCTTCTACGGGTCTGCCTGGAGTTCCTGTGTGTCTTGATCATGTTTTTTTTTTTTTTTTTTTTTCCCTTCCCACTGATCAAACTAGGAAACTGGGGTTGGGAAAAGATTGATAAAGAAGAATTGACAATGAAAATATGCCATGTATGCAGGGCAAAGTTAAAAAATAAAATTTCTGCTAAAACATATTAAAAGTGAAAGAGGGCAGTAGAAAGGCAAAAAACAGAATTACAAGTTGAATGAGCAAATCAATGAATGGAAACTGTGTTAGAGTGACCTATGTTTTTGTCTGTAAAGAGGAAAGAGAAAGCAACTAAACCAGTCTTCTTTAAAAAAAAAATTCTTCCTTCTATGCAGCAAGATGCTGTAGCTTATTTCATTCTGAAGTAAGTCCATTTCTGTCTCCTAAACCCAGTTCTGAAAAAATACTGGTTTAATACCGACAAGCAATCTGTTATTTTTTCTGCCAGAATCACCCATGATCATGGACTGCTTTTATAAAATCCAGAAGAATTCTACTAGCGGTGAAGTAAGAGGTCAAAGTGTTTATGTGTTGGCATCCAGGTAGAGCCCATTGTATTTGGCAGTTTCTTTACCAGCTGCATAAAAATCAGCATTTCTTTCAACAGTACTTCTTTGGTTTCTACTTTGGAAGTTGACTTACATCCACCTTTTCAGCACGCCTGGAATTCAGTAGTGCAAAGGACAGGAAGTCATGCTCTGGTTTTCTACTTTTACACAATATGGTAGAAGTAGACTACCACTACCACTACTTCTCCTTCTGGTTTCTACATTTACACAGTGGGATGTCTGCTGATCAAGTATGCCTAGTGCCCAGAGTAACTCCATAGATGGGGATGCAAGAAACCTGCCTTCTGCCAACCTCTTTCCCTTTGCCTTTTATGGGTTAATTGGAATTTTGGAAATAATTTGACATAACTTTAAAATTTTCATGTTTAAGTGTTTTTATCTTTTATCTTGGTATATATTATTTACCTGCTAACTATGGACTATTGACACGTAAGATTATCGTGAAAATAAATGAAAGCACTGTTCCCTGCCTTATCCAGAAATGTTGGAGAAGTAGTTATGGATGGTACATTATTAATGCTGGTAACAAACTAGATTTGTAAAACGTTTCAAGATTACAACTTTCATATTAATTTTTTATCATTTGATGTCAATTCTGAAAAACAATAATTTATTAACTACATTAGAAATAAAATACTTTTATAAATGTTGTACAAGTATTTACTCTTACAACTTCATAACAATAAATGATGTACATATTTTTATTATTATCGCTGTTATTAATCCCCACTTTACAGATGAGGAAACTAGAACAAAAACATGTTAAGTAGGTATGTTAACATATTAGTACCCCAAATCATACAGATGATAATAGGTAGAAAAATTTAGATTGAATTCAAGTGTTTTGAGTCCAAAGCCTATGCTGTTATTCATCTTATTGTACAATCAAAGTAGGCTAGTCAGTCATACATTATTACCACCATTTTGAAAAAAATAAAAATTAAATAAATATAAGTAAGCTAGTCAGTTATATATTATTGTCACCATTTTGAAAATAAATAAAAATTAAATAAATATCAGATAAATTGAGTAACCTTCCTAAGGTACTAATACTTCATACGTTTTATTCCATGATTCCATGGAATCATGATTAATACTATAGCCAACCATTAAGAAGTACTCAGTGAATGTTTGTTAAATAATATTAAAAAGAAGTAAGGAAGGGATAATATTTTAGTACCGTCTGATGAATCTTCTTTTTGACATCAGTTTTTTTCCTAATATCATCCATACAATATTGGACCAGGGAATGAAGGCATCAAATACCACTTCTTAGAGAATGAGCGTGTGATGCAAAGGAAATTTCTTTCAGAGGAAAGGAGCTTTCTGTTGTAGGGCAAAGAGAGAGTAAAAGTAAGAGTGGTTTCTAAAATGGCACTGTTGGTGTTCCAGATTCTGGAAAGAGATCACCTGGCAGGCACCACTCCAACTTGATCCCACACAGTGATCACAGTGGAGGAGAAATGGTAGCATGGTCTATTTGGGCAAAGAGAAGTACCAGAGTGACATTAAGAAGTCACCCATGGCATTTATGTAGCATGGAATGGAGCCCGCAATTCCATAGTGATTGTCAATAGGATGTTTAATAACCAGATGACACAAGGGAAATTGCTGTTGAGGCTTGCAAAATGATAGAAGACAGCAACATGATCTTCATGTGGATACCAGACCCACTTTCCTGCAGGGGCAATAAAAAGCTTCTCATTGAACCAAATACTGTCTTTGAAAATTTACCCTACCCAGAATAGTATTTACAAGAAACAGACTGTGATTTATTTAATTGGCAAATTTGTTCTTCCAATTGTTCAGGGACAAAGGAAATTCATGAGAAAGTGTATATCAGCTGCAATAATGTTAAAAATTCAAGCTGCCTTTTTGTGCATATTTGACTGTAACATTTATATATTTTTCTTATCTCAGTGTAATTGTATTATATTTTTCTGAATATATAAATGAAATATATTCATTATAAAAATTCAAACAGTATACAAAAATATGAATAAAAGAAGCCTTCTGAAATTCTGCCACACAGAGATAAACTTCACTGATTTTTTTTAGCCACTCTTTTCTGTATTTTTATACACACATGCATACACACAAACACACACACATATGAATATAAATTATAAACACAAATGCATGTACAAATATGCATGTGTGTAATGTATGATTTTACCTAAATGGAATATATACATTCCATATGCTGTGCCCATCTTCCTCAATGAGCGCACCAAAAAACTTCATCCTTACCCCACCATAGACAGTGAAATTTTCTTTCTTTTATTTCTATCTAAATGTGTTTTTACCTAACAAAAGATGCCCAGTGAAAATTAGGGTTTGACTTTTGTTAATTAACCTTTCTAGTGGGGTCAACATTATGTTTATTATATACACAGGCAGTTAAAAAAATGGTCAAATTGGTTCAATGACCCCAAGATAGAATGACAAAAAGAAAACTGACATTTTTTCAGTTTCTGTGTGCTACGCTTAAAATCACACAATGTGAAACGACTTCAACCCTCTCATTTCACAGATAAAGAAACTGAGGTCGAGAGGGTTAAACGACTTGCTGGAGCTTAAATGGCTTAGAAGCAGAAACTGTGTTCCTTGTATGGATTTTGCTTCTTTGGCTCTATTCAAGAAACTAGATGCATGTTGTGAGTTGACCAACTACTTTACAAAACAAAATAAAAATAATAACTACAATAACAGTAATCATTTATTGAGCATCTAAGAAATGTTAGAAACTGTGTTGGGCCTTTATACAAATTTAGTCTTGCGAGACAAGTATTACTGTTAACATTTTATGGATGAGGAAGATAAGGTGCACAGAGGCAAGTCATTTGCTCATGTTAAGCAGCTCATGACTCTCAAGCCTGTGCTGCTGCTATTACATTGGGCTGCCTTCCAACACTAGCAGCACCCGGAACCGGCACACTGGTGACTCAGAGCTTGTTAAGCTACCCTCAGCATTAATTTTCAGTTTTCAACTGATACTGCTGACATCTCTCCCTTTCGTCAAGTGGTGAATTCAGCCAAATAGGCCTTGAATTGTCTAATCTCTTTCCAATTGGCTAGCCCAGGATCCAGTAGCTGGTAAAGCAATTTTATGCTTTGTATTTTATAAACAGAATTGATGTGATGTAAATTGACTATTGACTATGCACTTACATAGGGTATTTAAAACTAAATATACTGGGTCTACCCCATAAGCCTTCATATTAGACTCAGAGCACAGAGGGATAAAATAGTGATTGAATCAGCTACTTTTAGATTTGAAAGGAATATACTACACAATCACACAGCTAAGCTAAGGTGGGAAAGGAAAGAAAGCAAGCAGGCACTGTCATCTAGATAAATAACCCCGTCACCACCCCCCAAAATAACAATAAATGATGACAGTGATGATGATATGATCCATGTGATTTCTTGGTCATGGCTTTATGTCAAGATTTCCTTTAGAAAGTGAAATAAGTTTAGGTAACACACAGAACAAACACAGCAAGAATTGATGACTTAGACAATACCGATTTCTTTTTTTATTGTTATTATACTTTAAGTTCTGGGGTACATGTGCAGACCTTGCAGATTTGTTACACAGGTATACACGTGCCATGGTGGTTTGCTGCCCCCATGAACCTGTTATCTACATTAGGTATTTCTCCTAATGCTATCCCTCCTCTAGCCGTGCAACCTCCAACAGGCCCCAGTATGTGATGTTCCCCTCCCTGTGTCCATGTGTTCTCATTGTTCAACTCCCACTTACAAGTGAGAACATGCAGTGTTTGGTTTAGGTTTCCTGTGTTAGTTTGCTGAGAATGATGGCTTCAAAAAAAAAGGTTAGGTTTCTTTTGTTTTGTTTTGTTTGAGACGGAATTTTGCTCTTGTTGCCCAGGCTGGAGTGCAACAGTGTGATCTTGGCTCACTGCAACCTCCACCTCCCAGGTTCAAGCGATTCTCCTGCCTCAGCCTCCTGAGTAGCTGGGATTACAGTCATGTGCCACCACGCCCAGCTAATTTTGTATTTTTAGTAGAGTCGGGGTTTCTCCATGTTGGACAGGCTGGTCCTGAACTCCCAACCTCAGGTGATCTGCCCGCCTCGGCCTCCCAAAGTGCAAAAGGTTAGTTCTATACATAAAATACATTTTCTTACTTAGTAATGTTCCTAATTTAAAGAATACTTGTAGAGGATTACCATAGACTTGTGTATTAGTTTTCTAGGGTTGCCATAATAAATTATCACAAACAAAATAGTATTCAATACTGGAAAAGTGTTCTCTCACAGTTCTGGAGGTTACATGTCCAAAATCAAGGTGTTGGCAGGGCCATGTTCCCCCTGAAGGTTCTAGGGTAGGATCCTCCCTTGCATCTTCCCAGACTCCTGCAGTTGTCAACACTCCGTGGTGTTCCTTGACTTGCTGCCTCACTCTAATTTCTGCCTCCATCTCCCCATGGCTGTGTTCCTTCTGTGTGTGACGGTCTCTATGGTTTTTCTTTAAGGATACTAGTGATTGGATTTAGGGCCACCCTAATCTGTATAACTTACATCTTAATTACATCTGCAAAGACTCTTTTTCTTAAGAGGGCCACATTCACAGGTTACTGGAGGTAGGACTTCGACACACCGTTTTGGGGAACACAATTCAATCCGTTATAACGTGTATCTATTTTTAATTGAATTTTTGCATGATTACAGAATAACCGTTTATAAAGTTTTGAAAACCCAGAAGCAAAAAGAAGAAAATAAAGCATCCCTGTTAATCTTACCAAATGGATACTTATTCTAGTTTTTACATTTTCCCTATGCATATACGTAGAGGAACACACATACATAGTTGAGTTTCTTTTTCTTTTAATTAGTCTTTTGTGGGGGACATGTTGTTGTACTATGGATATATAGGGGTGACTGAAAACATGGCCCCCACCATCAGAGAATAAGAATGAAAGAGAGAGAGAGAATCCTAATCACACAAATAAACACATAATTCCACTGGACAACTGCTATTAAAAAAAAAAAAAAAAGATGTCCAGTGTAATCCTAGCTTGTTCCAGAGACTGAGGAAAGCAGTTGAACCCAGATCTGAAGTATGTTAAGCAACAACTATGTGGATAAGAAAGAGTGAGACCTACTAAACAGGGGAGGTGCATGTACCAAGGCCAGGTGGCAGGAAGTAGCAGGCCAAAGAAGAAATTCACAAAAAACCACAGAGACTAGAGTGTGCGGAGGGGGAAATGAGGCATAAAGCTTTAATTCAAGAGGTAACTGGAAAAGGCCCATAGGCCATGTTAAGAAAGAAATTCTGTCTTCATCCCAAAAGCTTGGGGAAGTCACTGAACTCTCCTATGCGGAGTTTTCCTTTTTAAATATGACTCTTTTTTTTAAGAAAACAGACCCTTGCTTCAACCTTTTCTTCTCTTGCTCCTTATCTTTAACTGTGTTTGTAGAAGGTGAGAAAATGTGAACTACAGAAAGTTTGAGGAGACTGATACTCAGTATTTCTCTGTTTGGGAGAGAAAGGATAGAAAGCCTAAACCCCACTCTATTTGCACCATAGTAGCCATATACCCCCGTTTTTAAAAACTATGTCAAGAACCTGATGAGTGCTGAAATCAAGGCCGATGACTGGAAACTGTCTACCTGCTTGTTTCTTTCCCTCACATTAGAGAGAGCCTGGCTAGCATGTGCAGTGGACTTATTGGATGGAAAGTTGGATGACTGTTTATTCTACTCTCAGAAAGACATGACTGTCATTAATCCCATGGGTCTTCTTCTATGTTTGTGACTCCTCCGAAGGCACTTCAGGCACACTTACAGTTTTTCATGCTTTCCAGTTACAAACACAAGGCTTGATTGAAAAAAAAAAAAAGGATAAACTTAATAGTCCTTAATTAAGTCTTTCTTTCAATCAGAAAAGAATATTCTTGGCAATGTGTTTTTCCCTTGTTTTAGTAGGCTGGCTTTTATCCTTTTCCTTTTGGTTTTGATACTCCTTGCTCTCTGTTATATTTACTCATTTATTAAAATATTAGACAAGATAAAGCAATAAAGGCAGTAAAAATATACTCCTGTTGCAAACAATTTATTCTGATAAACTGATTAAAAATAAATTCCAACTTAAGTCCTATGTTGAGGTAGAGAAGCAGTGAGAAGCAGATATCTGTCTCTGAGGGAAAATGAGAAGTGTAGGTAGAGAAAGGTTTTTCTTCCGTTCATACTGCTAATTTGGATGGTGTGTTCAGAATGCACATGGGCCTCTGAAACTCTGATGGGCAAACATGTTTCAAAGGACTCAACAGCAGTCAGAGAGGCAATTCCAGAAGGGTAGGGGTGGGAGAGTCTAGAATCAGAACACTGATGCAGCCATATCTACCTTTGTGTATTGTACCCACATTAGGCGTCTCTTTTTCTCCTGCTAAAGATTCAGGTGAGAGTTATGGCTGATAAATGGGAAAGGAGAGGAGTGGGAAGACAAAGAAATCATGAATTTTTTGTAGGGAGAAGTCTCTCACTTTAAGACATGTGTGTGGAAGAGCCAAGAAGTATTAAAGTAAACTGTCTCTCCTCCCTTTTATTCCTCTAGTTAACTCAATGGCCTCTGGGGAAATGTGTTTGTGTGTTTGGGGACAATTAAAATTAAATTAACTTACTGAATTGTAAATAAAATTATCTCTGCTAAGAATTCAATCTTTTTTTTTCTCAAATGGATACTTTCACATACATACAAATTATCCTGGTACTTTTTTTCATTAAAAACAGAAATAGATGATTTTATAATTACCAACAGCAGATAGTTTTCCTAAAGGAAAAAAAGTAGCTTTGAAACATTAAAATTATCAATTGCATATACTTTGGAGTGTGACTTTAATATGTTCAGTAAATGTGCTGCAAACTTGTAAATTGTACAGTATGCATCATAGAATAACTTCAATGAGTCTCACTTTTCAAGGTCACTTAGGTGAAATGTAATAATTATTGGCTTCAACACAGCAAAACTCTACTCACTTTAATAATGTTATCTATGATATATTTTTTGATTTTTAAAAAAATAGCTGTGCATTTCTCAATAAAATAAATACTCATGATCAAGTAAATTGACACTATATATATGTTCATGTGTATATGATAAAAATCTGATGTGCATATATATGTGTAATTTTAGTTTCATACATGAAATACTTTATATATGATATATATACATATATGATAACATTATATGTATGTATATGCACACACAATCCACGTCCAAACAAGTATTTTCCAAATAATTTTTTTTTGCTCACATACAACTACTACCATAGATTCAAAATGTTGAATAAATCAGTAGTTTTATCATTTATTTTGGACAATAGAAGATAGACAGTTGAATGTAAGGTATGAGGAAGGAACGTATAGACAACACTGACTGCAGTAGGTTTTCCCCATATTGGACTGGCAGGAAAGCTGGTGAATTTGCGTACGTGTGGCAATCAGTAGGTCACAACCAGCGAATTGCGATATCTTCAGGGTATTAATGAATCTGGTACAACTTATCTAAACAATCAAATTTGAGGAAAGATGGCAATGAACTAGTTGGAGAGGAAGGGAGGGGAAAATGGAGAGGAAATAACAATGGGGGTTTTCCAGGAAGTTCCTAGTCATCCATTTGGGGGTGGCGAATGTGTTTATCTGATCTTAAAGCAATTACATCATAGAAATAAAGGAGACACTCCACTAAACCTCCAGTCATTTTATCCAAACCAGCAAGTTGTGTGATGCACACTGCAGTAATAGGATTAACCCTCTGCAATAACAGGATGGACCCACACACAGAATTTGATTTGGATGTTGATGCTCACAGTGACACGCATGCATCGAGAGGGTATGAAGAGGTTTCTCCTGCATAGAATGAGGCTCTCTGTGGATTTCAGGTGGCTCTCAAACATGCTCTATATTGGTGAGAGACAGAAGGAAAGGAGACTGGCTTGGATTTTTTTTTTTTTTTTAATGGGGGCTAGGACATGGGACCAAGCTGTGGCTTCCTCTTTGTGGTTTAAACTTTCATTGGCAAAGGAGATATCACCTGGGCTTTCTTCACAGCTTGCCCATAGGTGAGGCTGAGGAGAAGAAGGAAGGGTGAGGCTTAAAAGCTGTCAGCAGTCAAACAACAAAAAATGGAGTTGGACTCTTTATTTACACAAAGGGATCCGAATGTACTGTGTACTGAGACCTCATCTGTCAAATTCACTATCCCAAAATTACAATTACAGATAATTTTGTCCAGAGTTAAGGTGGGTTTAAAGCATTCCTTCAAGTTTCTTACCTTGTTAGGTGAGGCCTATCAAATCTTCAAATATTTTCCTTTCTGCCAATCATAGGATATAAGGTGCTGCCATTCAAGAACTATTCCTAGTGCCTCAAAGTCTCAAGAGAAGGAAATACTCAGATATTTCAATAAACGATGCCTTAATAGTAAGCAATTTAACAAAGGTGTGAAGCTCAGTGTTTGTTTCTGGACTAAGAGGGAGCAGAGAGAATTGAACAGCAGCTTGAAGCAATGGGCACAATGACATAATAGATTTAAAAGAAAATAATGTTTTATGTCAAAATTGTGCTGAATTACATTTATGGGTATGGGTATGGGTGTGGGTGTGGGTGTGTGGGTGGTAGAAAAGGAAAAGACAAGAAGAATCTTTCGTCCAACGTGAGCTCTCACAGGTAACTGAGTGTTAAACCTGCCACTTATACCTAGCCTGCCTGGACTCCAGCAGGTATTCATTATTTCTTCAGCTATTGTTTTCTTGAAATCAACGAACCCTGAAAGACAGGGCATTCTCACTAATTCAAAAGGATGATATGGAATTTCTGTTATTTTTTTAAACTTCCCTCTGTTTTATTTACTCATTTATTCAAATATCCATTTAATAAAATGTGTGTGTGTGTGTGTGTGTGTGTGTGTGTTTGGCTCTGTATTGTTATTAATTTGCACAGTCTGATACTGCTTTTAGTTTGTGATTTAAGAAACTTTGAATTAGAATATCAGTATTGTTGAGTGTGATGGCATGCACCAGTAGTCCCATCTACTTGAGAGGTTGAGGTCGGAGGATCTCTTGAGCCCAGGAATTTGTGTTCAGCCTGGGCAACGTAGCAAGACCCTTGCCTCTAAAAATACAAATAAAACATATAATATTAGTATTCGTTCAGCACATATTTACTTAATATTTAATGTATTCTCTCATCCCAAAATTATTCAAAATCCTTAAAACCTAAAGATAAAAGGGCATAGTTTCTATATAAATAATGATTATGAATTGCTACTGCATTAAACAATTTCAAAGGTGAGAAGACTAAGACATGTCAAACTTAGGTGATTTACTCAAGATCACAAGGAGACCAAATAATATAGCTGGTTTCTTGCTTTTCAGTGCATTGTTGTTCTACTATCATTTTGAGTTTCAAAGACTCTTCAAAGAAAATGTAGGATTTGTTGATAGGCAAGCTAGCTTGAAAGGAAAAGATTTGAAATCTAACAACCACTGATTTTCAAATATTTTATCTAATTCCCTCAAACCTAGTTTCCAAATACAGCAAATTTTTCACTCATCATATTTTGTCACACTGTTTAGTGGATAAAAATACTTTCAGTGTCTATGAGAGAAAGAGTCAAATGAAAACTAAAACTACCAAAGGTGTGCCTTCATGATAACCAAGAATTTAGTGGAATTCTGTCACTTGAAATTACCCAACAGCTGGAAGATTGACATCATATATGTAACACATTTGTTGTTTGTATACTTATAAATTGTTTTCAGAATGAGAATTATGGAGCTATTTTTCTCTTATAAACTTGTGTACCACTGCAGCTTTTTCTATACCTGTGTCCCATCTTCACTCTCAGCCTTCTCAGCCTTTGCTCCCAGCCCTTATTTCCATTGTTTTGTTAAAAGCTTAATAAATCATTATTTAATTTTAAAGAAAGTTATCAAACAAGAAGAGCAGTAGTAATGTACCTTATCGATGACACCTTGATCATGATTGACACTTCAGGGTAAGAAAGAATTAGTATGGTCCAACCTAACTTTAAATATAAATTATGTAGAAACCATTACTCTTGAACAGACTAAAGGATATTCTGAAATGTATTATAGATTCAAAAATCAAGTGAAACATTAAATATTTGAAACAGGATCAATTTATAAACTTACAACTGATAGCATGAAGATAATATTTAATAAAATCTTAATACTATTAGTAATACTCAAGAAATAAAGACAGAAGAAAATATTTTTTCAGAATCTTGTCATATTCGCATGTTATTACACTCTAAAAAATGTTGACTTCCTGTTCAGGGATGATTCTATCACATATACATTTTTTCCATGTTCTATAAAAAGGTGAGTTTTTAAAAATCGAAAATTGATTTACCTTTTTTCATTAGATTTGAATTATTTAAACTTAACATATACTATTATTTTTGTTTTTAGAGATGGAATCTTGCTATGTTTCCAGGCTAGAGTGCAGTGCCGATTCACAGACACAATCATAACTCACTGTAGCCTCTAACTCTGGGTCTCAAGTGATCCTCCTGCCTCAGCCTCCTGAGTAGCTGGAATTACAATGTGTGCCACTATGCCCAGTTGCATATATTACTCTTGTTTGCAATTGACTTATAGGGCACTATACATACATACATACATATATATACACACACACACACACACACACATATACACACATATATATGTGTGTATATGTGTATATATATAATTTGTGTATGTGTATATATAATTTTTAAATATATAATTTTTCCAATTTTATTTATATATATAATTGCTATATATATATGTGTGTGTGTGTGTGTGTGTGTGTGTGTGTGTGTGTATACATATATTTTTTCTTTTTTTCTTTGAGGCAGAGTCTTGCCCTGTCGCCCAGGCTGGAGTGCAGTTGCATGATCTTGGCTCACTGCAGCTCCTGCCTCCTGGGTTCAAGCGATTCTCCTGCCTCAACCTCCCAAGCAGCTGGGACTACAGGTGTGCATCACCACACTTGCTTATTTTTGTATTTTAGTAGAGTCAGGGTTTCACCATGTTGCCCAGGCTGGTCTCGAACTCCTGACATCAAGTGATCCAACCACCTCAGCCTCCTCCCAAAGTGCTGTGATTACAGGTGTTAGACACCGCGCCCAGCCACAGCACAATAAAATTTTGACTATGAAATGAGATGTCTGTTCAAGCAATCAACCAGCAAGTGCATGAGACCTGATATTGTAGGCACTGTGGAAGACAAAGAGGAAATATAATTACATTAAACTACCTTTACTGATTGCGCTCAGGCTGGCTGAAGTGTCAACTGAGGCTATGTATCAAAATTCTTGAGTCTCAGCTTGGACATCAGAAACTTAGGTTTATAATCTAGTTTTGCTACTTACTTTGAAATTAGGAACTTTATTTAAACACAGAAATCCTGCTCTTTCTCATCTGTAAGGTAATGATAATAATAACAATAACAATACCTACTTCAGAAGATGCCTGGGAATACTTCATGTAAACAAAATTTTAACATACTGCCTTGCTTCCAATGTGAGTGTAGTAAATGGTAGCTGTTATTGTTGTCATCACCAGAAATGAAGTAGAGATTAATTAACAGTTTACTTTTGGTGGGTGTAGTAGTTACTAGAAGTGTTACCCAATGTGGCAAGTGAAGCTTGAACTTGAACAAGACCTTGACAAATGGGTAGGCAGATAACTAAAATATTCTTCCTAAGTTAAGAATTATAAGCACAAGTAGGGAGAACATGAGATTTTTGAGGGTACTGAGAACAACCAGCTTGGAGTGAAAACTCCATATCTTGGATAAAAACAAACAGTTTCAATAGGGATTTAAGATCACTTTGAAAGAGGACCTTGGAAACCGAGGAAGAAGAACTGAAACAGTGTTTACTAAATGCCTTCTCATCACTGCACCAAGCCGGGGGTAAGAGGAGTAGGTGGTAAAATGCAGAGGAAAAAGAAAGTCTTTAAGTCCCTTGAGGTATAGTTCAACAGAACTCTTTAGAATGATAGATAGTAGAATTTTAAGGAATGTCAATTGCCTTCAGCCCCAAAGAAAAAAATAATATCCACCGGGCAAGGTGGCTCATACCTGTAATTCAAACACTTTGGGAGGCCAAGGTGGGAGGATTGCTTGAGCCCAAGAGTTCAAGACCAACATAGTGAGACCTCATTTCTACAAAAACTAAAAATAAATTAGCTAGCATGGTGATGCCTGCCTGTGGTCCCAGCTACTTGAGAGGTTGAGGTGGGAGGATTGTTTGAGCCCAAGAGGTTGAGGCTACACTGAGCCATGATCACACCACTCTACTCCAGCCTGGATGACAGAGCAAGACCCTGTGTCAAAATAATAATAATAATAATAATAATAATAATAATAAAGAAATAAAAGAAAATACCATTGTATTCATATTGAAGAGAGAAACATAAGGAGCCATGAAGAAGTTCTTGAGAGTTCTAATTGATGTTATAGAAGAAAAGCTAGGCACCAGAGTGCAAGACGAAAGGAAGACAAGACAGTAGACATGAGAAAGAATTTGAAGCCACAATGGAAAAAGTGACTTTGAGGATGCATGATGAAGACCTGTAACAGGTGTAAGTTCTTGGCCAAGCATGTTTTTGTATGTTGACATGTGAAAGAGGTCTGAACATGTTCGTATAATTACTATTGTTATTTTTCCCTTCTCAGTGCTGAATGTGAAAGTGTGAGGTCTCGGGAGACTGGATGGTCTCAATAGCTCAGTTCCTTCTTGTTTATTTTGGAGTCTCTTTGCTTACGTTATTTTCAAACCGAGCTGTTTTCCTAGTCAATCATTTATCTTAACTCTCAGTGAGTCATGGAACCTTTTCTTTTTAAAGTGCAAAATCATCCTTTAAACATTTTTATATCCTCTCCTCACTATTTTTTATTCCACTTGGCTTGCTTTCATAGACATCTTCCATCCACATGGGATCCATTTTCTTCTTGCTCTTTGAAAAATAAGAAAAGTAACCTACACTAAGGAATAGGTCACAAAGATCAGTGGAGGAAAAGTGACAGGCTATGCTGCTGTATTATTTAGGCTTGACTCATCTTAAGTTGGTTACATGTATCACAAAAAGTAAGAAATGTATTGGAGAAAGGAGTTTTATTCATAGGAAAATCAGACTTATACTTCTGCCAACATTCTTAGTACATTATTTTCCTTTTCTGTATTAAAGATAAGGATCATTCAGAGATCATTTGAAAATTATAATTAAAAAGAAAATGTCTTCTTATCTGTAAGAAACAACTGTCCCATAGATTTTTCCTTTTCTTTATTTGGTATCATATTTTGATGTGAATTCTAATTCTAGTAATCAGCAACCACCCTACAAATATTCCATCACTCATGTTGACAAATTTCTAATACAATATATGCAACAAACACACAAATATCAAATGGCTCATAGTTCTGAACCTAACAAGATATGTCAGAGGCAAAGAAATATGGAGAATTATGCATTTTCTGTCTTCTTTGCGTAAAAAATTGATAACTTTGTGGCTATATCAGTCAAAGTAATGGTAGGTGTGCCTAGGGAGGTTCTACTTTATACCTTAAGTATTATAAATGAATGGATTAGAATAAAGGGAATTGGGTTTATAGAGGCCAGTGTAGGAAATGGTGAGGAAACATAAGTTAGCAACATCAGGAAGTCATTAATGCCAGAAACCAGCTGACAACATGGAGCAGACACTGGCAAAGGTGGGGAGGTTACCTAAGTTCAAACTGGCCCTGGGGGGCAGCAGATAGCTTAGTTTATGGAATTATCAAATGTAGAAAAGCTCTAAGAACTGAAATGCATGCCATTGATGATGAAAACCATAAAATCGCAAGTGACATAAATTTTTAAATAATTGGTTTTCATAAAGTTCATAGAGCTAAGCAATAGAAGAAATGGGTTATTGATTTTGTCTAAGTTTCCCACTTGTGGGCTTACTGTCCCTTTCTAGATACATACACATACATACAGGTTTTTTTTCCTAATTTTGACATGCAATCATTTTCTTCTTATTTATCCTTATAACTTTGTTACATTAGCTTATAATATAAAATTCATCTTTTTATGTAATTATGATAGTATTTTGGATTTTTCATTCTTTTTTACAGAAATGATTACTGCCTTAGGAGTCTGATTCAATTACTGGATTAAGAAGCCATTCTATTTTTTTATTTTATTGTGAAATCAACAAGCTAAAATGCTCTAAGAAAGCTAAAGAATAATCTGTCACGGGAGTAGTTTAAAAAAAAAAAGCTAAGGAAGACAGTCTCAAACAAGTTTAATGAGGCTCAGAGCTTGAGCTATTGTCTTTTAACCTATGAAAGTGACAGAATATAATAATTAAGATATAGAAATGTTTTAATGTTTTTCCAAAGGTAGGAAATAAACTCAATTTTTCTCTGTACTATACTGTGTTATCTTACTCTCATGTGCTCCCAGCACAGTGAGGTAATAGTTCATGACAAGACAACATGGTAATCTGGCAGCCACACATTTTATTGCTGATTGCCACCATTCTAAATAGCATATCTTTAAAAGATAAATGAAGATTTGAGCACAATGCAAAACATGCTTATCCTTCCAAATTTGGCACAATAAGTCAATAGGTTAAAAGGTTTAGGGCCATGCCTCTGGGAAACTGGTCCTGGGAGAGAATTAGCCCCACAGCTGTCAAGTGATAGGAAGAATGGAAAGGACTGTGAAAATGACAAGCCATGGAACTGTAAAACAAAAATACTTAGGGACTGCTCTAGGGTTCTAAATGCTGGCTCAACACTTATTATTGAAGTAACCAATTATTTTTTTAACATATTAAAAATGTAGATTTAATTCCTATCCACCAATGCTCATTGCAAGCAGAAAATGGAGACCAGCAGTTATTGCACAATCTCCAAAGTAGCAATCTCTTACTATCAGTTAAACTCATTACCCTGAAATATTCTATTCTTGCCAATATACAATCATCATTTAAAATAATTAGTTAACAATTATCTAGAATACTAAAATGACCTCCCAGAAAACTAATCACCTTGAGGGAGCATTACACTTTTTTTGCAAAGGACAAATACCACTTGAATTAATGATTTTTCCAAGATCATATTAGAGAAATATGGTGTGATTATCCATTTTAATTAGAACAACAATGGCAATAACAACAACAAGCCACTCCTTTGTGTTAAGTGCAACTGGGAGAAAATACTGAGTGGTAATAACTAAAATTCATTTCTGCCTTCTGTGTAGGAAGGATATATCTAATTATTTAATGGAAACAGAGAGAAATAATGACATTTTTAATTCAATTTTATCAAGTCATGAACTGTTTGTTTGTACAAACTATGTGCCTTTAATTTAATAGCTTGATACTGAAAAAAATTACCAACTTTTTATTTATGAGTAGTAACAATTACTTTTTCCTTTTTATGATTATAATACAATGATAAAGCACTACACTCCTCAAAGAATTAAACATTAAATTATATGGAATAGAGATATATCATGACATTAAAAGTGCTATGGGTTTATCTTTTATTTTTCTTCTTTGAATTAATAGATGTACATAGTTAAGAAATGAATTATTACTATAAAACCTAGGACCAGAAATGAAGAAAGGAGGGAGGAAGAGCAAGCAATTTGTTGCCCCACCTTTTCTGAACTCTCCAGCCAGTCCCCTAAAAGGGGCCACTTTAAGTTTTTTTAACTGTATCTTTTCTCATTTAGCTGTGTTTTCAATTACCATTTTATAATGCTATTTTGTGAATGTTAAATTGATGTCTTCTTAAGAAAGGAGATTATTGAGTATCCTTACATCCAATACTCAATGCACTTCATCTCTACTCCCTATCTCCCTATCTTATATATCTCCTATGTTTTAAACAAATCAGTATTTAGTGTTATTGCTTGTATGACTATGTAAAGCATTGTTCACAGATTAGCCATGTGGTATTATTTATTTCCATTAATTTCCTGCATGAAATTTCAATTTTCTAAAAGTTCCTATTTGTTTCTCTACTTGTTTAGTTTTCAAGGTATCTTTCATGAATTATTTCCCAAGTTACACAAACTTACTGAAAAATCTCTAAATGCCTACAAATATATCAGATGTTCTTTCCATTCCATTCTTTTAAGCTGAAGATATTGAAGCATGTTTCCCTCTTTCTTTCTCTTCTTTTTGTAAACAGCCTAATAATTCCCTTTGCCCCTCCCTCTTGCTTCTTTTCCTAAATCCTATGTATTCCCCTTCATGTTGGTGTCTTCATTTTGGAGGAAAACATTCTCCAGTAACTTCTCAGAAAGAGTGGACAGGAGATATAAGTGTTGAGATACAGCAAATTTGGAAATTATTTAGCCTATACTTGGCTTGTTATTTGGCTAGGTATGAAATACTGGGGTAAAACCAATTTTCCCTCATAATTTTCTAAGGTTTTTTAGTTTGCAGTGTTACAGATTCAATCTTTTTTCTATATATGACACTCATTGGTATAACTCTTTCTTCATTTATTTTCCTATAGCTCTCAGGGTATGTTAATTCATTCTTTTTTATGGCTGAGTAATATTCCACTGTGTGTGTGTGTGTATGTGTGTGTGTGTGTGTGTGTGTATCTCACAATTTCTTTTTTTTTAATTTTTTTTATTATCCTTTAAGTTCTAGGGTACATGTGTACAACGTGCAGGTTTGTTAAATATGTATACATGTGCCATGTTGGTGTGCTGCACCCATTAACTCATCATTTACATCAGGTGTATCTCCTAATGCTATCCCTCCCCACTCCCCCCACCCCACAACAGGCCCCAGTGTGTGATGTTCCCCATCCTGTGTCCAAGTGTTCTCATTGTTCAATTCCCACCTATGAGTGAGAACATGTGGTGTTTGGTTTTCTGTCCTTCTGGTAGTTTGCTCAGAATGATGTTTTCCAGTTCATCCATGTCCCTACGAAGGACATGAACTCATCCTTTTTATGGCTGCATAGTATTCCATGGTGTATATGTGCCACATTTTCTTAATCCAGTCTATCACTGATGGACATTTGGGTTGGTTCCAAGTCTTTGCTATTGTGAATAGTGCTGTAATAAACATACATGTGCATGTGTCTTTATAGAAGCATGATGTATAATCCTTTGGGTATATACCCAGTAATGGGATTGGTGGGTCAAATGGTATTTCTAGTTCTAGATCCTTGAGGAATCGCCACACTGACTTCCACAATGGTTGAACTAGTTTACAGTCCCACCAACAGTGTAAAAGTGTTCCTATTTCTCCACATCCTCTCCAGCACCTGTTGTTTCCTGACTTATTAATGATTACCATTCCAACTGGTGTGAGATGGTATCTCATTGTAGTTTTGATTTGCATTTCTCTGATGGCCAGTGATGATGAGCATTTTTTCATGTGTCTTTTGGTTGCATAAATGTCTTCTTTTGAGAAGTGTCTGTTCATATCCTTCGCCCACTTTTTGATGGGGTTGTTTGATTTTTTCTTGTAAATTTGTTTGAGTTCTTTGTAGATTCCGGATATTAGCCCTTTGTCAGATGGGTAGATTGTAAAAATGTTCTCCCATTCTGTAGGTTGCCTGCTCACTCTGGTGGTAGTTTCTTTTGCTGTGCAGAAACTCTTCAGTTTAATTAGATCCCATTTGTCAATTTTGGCTTTTGTTGCCATTGCTTTTGGTGTTTTAGTCATGAAGTCCTTGCCCATGCCTATGTCCTGAATGGTATTGCCTAGGTTTTCTTCTAGGGTTTTTATGGTTTTAGGTCTAACGTTTAAGTCTTTAATCCATCTTGAATTAATTTTTGTATAAGGTGTAAGGAAGGGATCCAGTTTCAGCTTTCTACATATGGCTAGCCAATTTTCCAGCGCCATTTATTAAATGAGGAATCCTTTTCCCATTTATTGTTTTTGTCAGGTTTGTCAAAGATCAGATGGTTGTAGATGTGTGGTATTATTTCTGAGGGCTCTGTTCTGTTCCATTGGTCTATATCTCTGTTTTGGTACCAGTACCATGCTGTTTTGGTTACTGTAGCCTTGTTGTATAGTTTGAAGTCAGGTAGCGTGATGCCTCCAGCTTTGT
Source organism: Homo sapiens (assembly GCF_000001405.40). Taxonomy (NCBI): domain Eukaryota; kingdom Metazoa; phylum Chordata; class Mammalia; order Primates; family Hominidae; genus Homo; species Homo sapiens. The sequence continues at coordinate 29,109 of NW_019805489.1, forward strand.
TCTTTTGGCTTAGGATTGTCTTGGCAATGCGGGCTCTTTTTTGGTTCCATATGAACTTTAAAGTAGTTTTTTCCATTCTGTGAAGAAAGTCATTGGTAGCTTGGTGGGGATGGCATTGAATCTATAAATTACCTTGGGCAGTTATGGCCATTTTCATGGTATTGATTGTTCCTATCCATGAGCATGGAATGTTCTTCTATTTGTTTGTATCCTCTTTTATTTCGTTAAGCACTATATATCACAATATCTTTATCCATTCATTGATTTATGGGCATTTGGGCTGGTTCCATATTTTTGCAATTGCAAATTTTACTGCTATAAACATGCATGTTGAAGAATCTATTTCATATAATGGCTTCTTTTCCTATGGGTAGATACCCAGTGGTGGGATTGTTGGATCAAATGATAGTTCTCCTTTTGGTTCTTTAAGGAATCGCCACACTGTTTTCCATAGTGGTTGTACTAGTTTGCATTCCCGCCAGCAGTGTAGAACTGTTTCCTGTTCACTGCATCCATGCCAACATCTGTTGTTTTTTGATTTTTTGATCATGGCCATTCTTGAAGGAGTAAGGTGGTATCACCTTGTGGTTTTGATTTTCATTTCCCTGATCATTAGTGATGTTGTTTTCTCCTGTTTTCTGATGCAACCTTTGAGTATTTGACTACCTGTATTGACATCTCAGTTTCTTTACTTTTCTCTTCTATTATCTTTTCTGTGTATCTTATCTTGTATTATCTTATTGTATTATCTTGTTGTATTCTCTTATCTTGTTTGTTTGTTTCTGTCCCTGGAATGTACCTTGATTTTGTCTTTCAGCTTTCTATTTAGTTGTGATATCTGCTGTCATATCTTTGATTTCCAGGATCTCTTTCTTGAACTCTGATGTTTAATTTTAAAATAACACTGTCTTGCTTAATGGATATAAAATTTTTCACAATATTAATTATAAGGATGTGTTCTTTCAAGTTGTTTTCTTTATGTACAATGTCTTTTTTTGGTGCATTTTTTTCCATTTGTTTGCTTTGTTTATTTCGTATTATGGCTTTTCTTCCAATATTATTGATTCTATGCTAGACTTTCTATTTAAACATAAAATACCAAAAATATAACTGGAGACTTCGCATGGCCATGGGGAAGAGATGCTTGTCTGTGGATTTTGTTTCCTTTTATGAGATAGAATCTTCCTTGTGTCTCTCTGTCTCTGACTCTGTCTCTCTGTGTCTTTGCTTCTGTCAATTTCCAGTGTCAAATGTTGGTAATTTCCCTTGGTTCAACTAAACACACGCATACACATAAACATGCATGTACCTTAATATGAAATCATTCTCTTTTACATTATTTTTATATCACTCTCATTTTACTCTATTTTCTCATGTAATTAAAATAAATATTTGCCACTATTCTTTAAAATATCTATAACAGCATTAATGAACTGGAAAATCTGTAACAAGTATCTCAGTCTGTAACTAGAATATTGCTTTGACTTTAACTCAAGACATTCTTCTGGGTTTTGTAATCTCTCAAATATATTCACAAAATAAAACTGATATTGGGAAATAATGCATATTGAACTATCCTGTGTATTAGAAATTAGTTTCCTAGTTCAGAAGCTGCTTTGAAAACAGATTTGACATTCGATTTGAGTCCTTTGGGAATTAACACAAATGCATTTTCATCATCATTTCATTAGGATTTGAAGCAGTTATAGTTGTGATTTCTGGTAGCTGTATTTCAGAGTAAAGTGGCTGTGTTAGTGAAGACTTACCCCTGACCAACCCATGTAATTAGATTTACTGATTCAAATAAAGAAAAGAGTGATAAATTTCTGTGTGTGCACACTCACAAACTTGTGTGCTTGCATGCCCACCATCTCTCCTCTCTCATTCCCTTTTCTTGTAAATATATAAAGGGTCCTAACTCATTTCTTTTATCTTAAGATCAGAAAATATGTCTTTTTCCTCTGCGTAAAACAAAACCAAAAGAACAGTTCCACTTTAAGACCATCAGTGGTGAATACTGAAAATCAAAGGAAGAGAATATGATGATGGGTGAAAAGAAGGCAAGAGAAAAGATGGCAGGAGAAATGTAGCAAATTTCAGGTTCTGAGGAATTGATTTGAAGTCTTAATAGTGCTAGAATTCCCTTGGGTTGTACATTCGGGAGTGATATTACCAGTTATCCGCTGTTTTTTAAATTCTTGTTTAAATTACTCAAACGTTTTAATATTCCCTCTGAGTCAAATAATACATAACCTACAGTGAGGGAAATTATTTTTGGAATGCAGCAGCTGAGACCCAAGCTTGATGTTCCCAAAACACATCTACTCCCACCAGTTCCTTCTTGCCTAAATTAATGGAGTTCTAATCTCCATTTTTGAAGACAAAGAGACCCTTTTTTTTGAGTCAAGTATAAAATGGCAGATAAATGTATTGCCTTACATGAGGAACAGATTATAAATTTGTGTTTGTGTCAGTATAATTAAGGTATTTATGAGAATAAAATACATACTCAAAAGACAGATCACAAGTTAGTCAGTGGAGGAAAGGAGACATATCTTGGAAGAAGAGTCAAACTGACATTTTTTGACAAATATGTTTTACTTATATTCTCTATGACTATCTAGTAACTTGGGGAAAGTACATTTCTGTTGGAAAATCTGATACTGTTAGTGTATGAAAATAATCTTTCTCTTAAATTGTCAAAGGAGAATTATGCATCATATAGCACAGCTTTCCATATAACTTATTTAAGTCACTATTTGGAAATTTATTCTATGCCAATTGGGTGGATGATATATTTGATTCCATATTATTAACACTACTTTGAAGGAGAAAAACAAAGTGAGTATATCAGATAATTATACTGTAAACATTTTCAATAAGTCTCTAAATTTTAGTCTAGAGCATATGGAGAAAGATGAGTGTGTGGGCTACAGTAATGAGTTACAGCAATAATTTGTTTTTACATATTAATATAAAATAAATATTGACATGATATTCTTACATATTACATTATTTCATTATTTTGGTGAATTTTTGCAAAAATCTATTTAGATAATATTATTATCCTCATTTTACAGCAGAGAAAACTGATCCGAATTCACAGACTATTAGTAAATTTTCTTAAACTGCACTACTAGTAAATGGAATAGAAGTCGCTTGGTTCCAAATCATATTTTATTTTGACAAAGGTTAAATCATTATGACCCATTGTATACTTTGATAAATTTATGTAAAATTAGATTTTGTGGATTTTTCTGATTCCACGAAGGCAAAATAACATGTTTGGTGGTCATCCTTCTCAGTACAGAAATCAAAATACCAGGTCTGAAATTGTGTGTACTTTTGAGTGTGATGAGATGGAACATTTGAAATTGTATGACCTAAAAAAATCTGAGATACATAGGATCCAAGACATGCTTAACATTAATTATGAGGCTTTGATGTATTTTCAATGGAATTTATAATTTTGCAAAATATTGTCTGATAAATTTGAAAGCAACTGTAATGAAAATAGTTACATTTTTTTTAAGCATCTGAACTTTATTATCTTTTTTTAATTATTATTATACTTTAAGTTTTAGGGTACATGTGCACAATGTGCAGGTTAGTTACATATGTATACATGTGCCATGCTAGTGTGCCGCACCCATTAACTCGTCATTTAGCATTAGGTATATCTCCTAATGCTAACCCTCCCCCCTCCCCCCACCCCAGAGTGTGATGTTCCCCTTCCTGTGTCCATGTGTTCTCATTGTTCAATTCCCATCTGTGAGTGAGAACATGCAGTGTTTGGTTTTTTGTCCTTGCGATACTTTACTGAGAATGATGATTTCCAATTTCATCCATGTCCCTACAAAGCATATGAACTCATCATTATTTATGGCTGCATAGTATTCCATGGTGTATATGTGCCACATTTTCTTAATCCAGTCTATCATTGTTGGACATTTGGGTTGGTTCCAAGTCTTTGCTATTGTGAATAGTGCCTCAATAAACATACGTGTGCATGTGTCTTTATAACAGCATGATTTATAGTCCTTTGGGTATATACCCAGTAATGGGATTGGTGGGTCAAATGGTATTTCTAGTTCTAGATCCCTGAGAAATCGCCACACTGACTTCCACAATGGTTGAACTAGTTTACAGTCCCAACAACAGTGTAAAAGTGTTCCTATTTCTCCACATCCTCTCCAGCACCTGTTGTTTCCTGACTTTTTAATGATTGTCATTCTAACTGGTGTGAGATGGTATCCCATTGTGGTTTTGATTTGCATTTCTCTGATGGCCAGTGATGATGAGCATTTTTTCATGTGTCTGTTGGCTGCATAAATGTCTTCTTTTGAGAAGTGTCTGTTCATATCCTTTGCCCACTTTTTGATGGGGTTGTTTGTTTTTTTCTTGTAAATTTGTTTGAGTTCATTGTAGATTCTGGATATTAGCCCTTTGTCAGATGAGTAGGTTGCGAAAATTTTCTCCCATTTTGTAGGTTGCCTGTTCACTCTGTTGGTAGTTTCTTTTGCTGTGCAGAAGCTCTTTAGTATAATTAGATCCCATTTGTCAATTTTGTCTTTTGTTGCCATTGCTTTTGGTGTTTTAGACTTGAAGTCCTTGCCCATGCCTATGTCCTGAATGGTAATGCCTAGGTTTTCTTCTAGGGTTTTTATGGTTTTAGGTCTAACGTTTAAATCTTTAATCCATCTTGAATTAATTTTTGTATAAGGTGTAAGGAAGGGATCCAGTTTCAGCTTTCTACATATGGCTAGCCAGTTTTCCCAGCACCATTTATTAAATAGGGAATCCTTTCCCCATTGCTTGTTTTTCTCAGGTTTGTCAAAGATCAGATAGTTGTAGATATGCGGCGTTATTTCTGAGGGCTCTATTCTGTTCCATTGATCTATATCTCTATTTTGGTACCAGTTCCATGCTGTTTTGGTTACTGTAGCCTTGTAGTATAGTTTGAAGTCAGGTAGCATGATGCCTCCAGCCTTGTTCTTTTGGCTTAGGATTGACTTGGCGATGCGGGCTCTTTTTTGCTTCCATATGAACTTTAAAGTAGTTTTTTCCAATTCTGTGAAGAAAGTCATTGGTAGCTTGATGGGGATGGCATTGAATCTATAAATTACCTGGGGCAATACGGCCATTTTCACGATACTGATTCTTCCTACCCATGAGCATGGAATGTTCTTCCATTTGTTTGTGTCCTCTTTTATTTCCTTGAGCAGTGGTTTGTAGTTCTCCTTGAAGAGGTCCTCCACGTCCCTTGTAAGTTGGATTCCTAAGTATTTTATTCTCTTTGAAGCAATTGTGAATGGGAGTTCACTCATGATTTGGCTCTCTGTCTGTTATTGGTGTATAAGAATGCTTGTGATTTTTGTACATTGATTTTGTATCCTGAAACTTTGCTGAAGTTGCTTATCAGCTTAAGGAGATTTTGGGCTGAGACAATGGGGTTTTCTAGATGTACAATCATGTTGTCTGCAAACAGGGACAGTTTGACTTCCTCTTTTCCTAACTGAATACCCTTTATTTCCTTCTCCTGCCTGATTGCCCTGGCCAGAACTTCCAACACTATGTTGAATAGGAGAGGTGAGAGAGGGCATCCCTGTCTTGTGCCAGTTTTCAAAGGGAATGCTTCCAGTTTTTGCCCATTCATTATGATATTGGCTGTGGGTTTGTCATAGATAGCTCTTATTATTTTGAGATACATCCCATCAATACCTAATTTATTGAGAGTTTTTAGCATGAAGCGTTGTTGAATTTTGTCAAAGGCCTTTTCTGCATCTATTGAGATAATCATCTGGTTTTTGTCTTTGGTTCTGTTTATACGCTGGATTACATTTATTGATTTGCGTATATTGAACCAGCCTTGCATCCCAGGGATGAAGCCCACTTGATCATGGTGGATAAGCTTTTTGATGTGCTGCTGGATTCGGGTTGCCAGTATTTTATTGAGGATTTTTGCATCAATGTTCATCAAGGATATTGGTCTAAAATTCTCTTTTTTGGTTGTGTCTCTGCCTGGCTTTGGTATCAGGATGATGCTGGCCTCATAAAATGAGTTAGGGAGGTTTCCCTCTTTTTCTATTGATTGGAATAGTTTCAGAAGGAATGGTACCAGTTCCTCCTTGTACCTCTGGTAGAATTCGGCTGTGAATCCATCTGGTCCGAAAATAGTTACATTTTACAAACGAATCTCTAACACATTTTGGTATCTTTTTTTATACTTTGAAAGGACTGTAGCAGGTGTGTGTGTGTGTGTGTGTGTGTGTGTGTGTGTGTGTTTATAGCCAGTATGTATATATGTAGCAAATACGTTCATGTGCCATTTAATAATGGAGATGCTTTCTGAGAAATGCATCATTAGGTGACTTCATTGTTGAGAGAACATCATAGAGTGCACATAACACAAACACATTGTGTAGCCTCCTAAACAACTAGGCTATGTCGTATAGCTTATTACTTCTAAGCTACAAACCTGCATAGCATGTTATTGTACTGAACACTGTAGGCAATTACAATGCAGTGGTATTTGTATATCTAAACATATCTAAACACAGAAAAGGTACAGCGAAATATGATATAAAAGATTAAAAAAAATTGCCACCCCTGTATAGGGCACTTTTCATGGAACTTGTGGGAGTAGAAGTTGCTCTGGGTGGATCTGTGAATGAGCAGTGAGCAAATGTGAAGGCCTAAGACGTTACTATGCATTACTGTAGGCTTTATAAACACTGTACACTTAGGTTACACTAAATTTGTTTTAAAAATTAAGTAATTGCACTAATGTCACAATGAGAACAATGCCACTAGAGTTTTTCAGCTCCACTATAATCTATGGAACCACCCTCATGTATGTGATCTGTTCTTGAGCAAAATGTCATCATGCAGCACCTGACTGTATATATATGTAGCAAGTATGTGTGTGCCTGTGTGCGTGTGTGTATATATAAATGTTACATTTACATACACCTGATATGTGCATGTGTAATTATATATGTAACAAGTATGTGTGTGCCTGTGTGCGTGTGTGTACATATACATGTTCCATTTACATACACCTGATATGTGCATGTATACATATATAGGTAACAAGTATGTGTGTGCCTGTGTGCGTGTGTGTACATATACATGTTACATTTACATACACCTGATATGTGCATGTATACATATGTAGGTAACAAGTATGTGTGTGCCTGTGTGCGTGTGTGTGTATGTGTATATATACATGCTACGTATGTATACACCTGATATGTGTATGTGTAAATACATATCCACACACATAGCAGGTGTATATATAGGTAGCCTGTGTGTGTGTGAGTGCATGTGTGTGTATGTGTAGCAGGGGTTTTGTGTTAGAACCAAGAGCTTGGAACTGGTACAATGAAAATATTTTGCCTGAAAGATATGCTTAGTAAAAGTCCCAAGTTTCACACATTTTTGAGGCTCAAAGTGAAGAACTCAAAGTGAATTATTAGGTAATCATATCTACTTCTTCCTAAACCCTTCATCTGATTGTGTGCTAAAATTTAATACTAACTGATCTTTCCATCTCCATAAAATTCTTTGAGATAACAAAATCCTACATTCCGGTTTCTGAAGGATGGTATTCTGCAAATGTGAAAGTTTCCCTTAACCTCCAAAAAATAATTGGGTTAATCCAGCTACCACAAGTGTGAAATTGAGAAGCTGCTTGCTAAGATTGAATTTAATATTGTCACATGTCATCTGAGAGCTGCTTGTCTGATCATGTTGCCACTGGACAAAGTAAGCCTTACTACAAAGGATAAAAGAATGATTATTTCAATATCCAGTCATAGTTCATCATCAAACTCTGAGTAAAATGGAGAAAAAAAGACGTTTTATCTTATATGACTCTATGCATTTCTCTGGGAAGTCATTTATCTGGTTGCTATCCAGGAGAGCAAAGATAATGGGAAAAATCTTCCACTATTCTCAACTATAATTTTAAATATCAAATTTTAATAAAATAGGTTTTGGTTATTTCTTTTAAAAGCCCTCAATATAAGAAAATGAAATATTAGAAACTTATTTTATAAAATATATTTGTGAACCATAAAACCCCATATAAAATGGAAATTATTATCACCATTAACTACTGATGCTTCTAATCTTATTCTGTAATGGTTAAAAAATGACTAGAATTTAGAGTTACTGCCAATATATGGGGGGGGGAGGGATTTTATAAAAATAGCTTTATTCATTTGCATGTTAAGCAAGAGTGTGATTACTGATGGCCGTAAGAGTCACTTGCTGCTTTAAGCTCTGCTCTGCTGCTGACTCTACATGTGTAGCTTTGAGAGGTCCTTTAGCCCCTCCAGCTTTCCACATAGGCAGGATGTGGCTATTGTACTTGATGATATGCCAAACATGCTTCTGATTCCAACATTCGATGGTTCTGTGATATTTCTACCTTATTACAAAAGACATTCACTTTAAAAGTATAAACACCGTAGTAACTTTTTTTCTTTCATTGTTTTCAATAAAAGGGTAATGGAAGTAAACTGACAAGTTTAGGAGGCTTTCAGAGCATAAAGGAGAAAGGCTGGCAGCTCTTGAGAACCTCTTTGCTTTCAGCTGAGAGCAAGTAGAGAATGCTTGCTCTCTGGCCCTGAATGTCATAACATTATGTTCAGAATCATTGAAATGTCTGACAACACTGTTGATTAAAAATGAGAATCATTAGGCCATGTCTGCCGTTATAGGATGAAGTGTAGTTTGAACAGTATGGAAAAAAACTATCCCAAAAGGATGATTTGTCTTAGACAATATTACCAAAATTTCAAATTATACTATGTATAGTAATTTGCAGTAATTCACTTTTTTTTTATATTTAGCTTCATCTTAAAAGTTCTCCTTCATTGGTAATGCTTTGAAAAATGCTGGATTTAGAATTATGAAGAGACTATCAACTAATATTATGGATGATATTATTATTATTATTATTTTTTGAGACGGAGTACTCGCTCTTTCGCCCAGGCCGGACTGCAGTGGCGCTATCTCGGCTCACTGCAAGCTCCGCCCCCCGGGTTCTCGCCGTTCTCCTGCCTCAGCCTCCTGAGTAGCTGGGATTACAGGCGCCCGCCACCGCGCCCGGCTAATTTTTTGGATTTTTAGTAGAGATGGGGTTTCACCGTGTTAGTCAAGATATGGATAATATTATTTAGAAACCATTCTGTGTGCTACAAAAGTCCTTTGAGAATGATATGAGCTGGGCACGACGGCTCATGCTTGTAATCCCAGCTCTTTGGGAGGCCAAGGCGGGTGGATCACCTGAGGTCAGGAGATCAAGAGTAGCCTGGCCAAGATGGCGAAATCCCGTCTCTACTAAAAATACAAAAATTAGCTGGGTGTGGTGCAGGGGCCTGTAATCCCAGCTACTCAGGAGGCTGAAGCAGGAGAATCACTTGAACCCAGGAGGCGGAGGTTGCAGTAAGCCAAGATCATGCCACTGCCCTCCAGCCTGGACAACTCCATCTATTAAAAAAAAAAAAAGATAACCACTAAAATGGCTATTATTCATCTTTCAAAATCTGTAATACCTGGAAGTTCTGCATGACCTTTAGGAAAACTACATCCACAAAGCGTTCCTTCTAGTTTCCTAATAAGTTTTAGAAGAAATATTGCCATTCTGAGCTAAACTAGTTCTACTTCCTTAGGGCAAATTCCTACCATAACATGAAATAGACAAATATAATTACTCTAAAAAAAGTCCAGCCATAGCATCTTAGAGTTTAAAGGAATAACCCTTAGGAGTTCACATAATTTTTTTTCCACTGCTTCCTAGGCAGACCTCATTTAGTGTAGCTGGCGTGTTGCCCTGCAGACTTTACTGAACTGCTAGTACAGGAGTCGCTATGTTTTTAGCTAGCCCATTCAGTTTTTGTAAAGCTCCATCATTACATTTTTCATCATACTGACCTAATACCTAGCTATATTTAGCTTGCTCACGCTCTGCCTTCTGGAGCGAAAACATGCATGTCTGTGCATTCTCTATATCTACCTAGTATCAGTTAGAGTTTCGTGTTTTCCTTCATGTAACAGAAAACTCATTAACAGTGGACTTCTCCAAATACTTCTCTAAATATTTTTCTCACAAAATGAGAAATCGAATGAAGCGTTGGTGTTAATTCAGTGTCTTGAAGATATTAGACCCAAGCTCTCTGTCTTTTCCTCATGGTTGCTGATAAAGGCTGAAGCTATAGTCATCATTGTAATATTCCACTTGGAGAAAGAAGAAAGGCACATGCCCACTAAGGCTAACTGATCTTTTAAAGGGTCTGTTCTTAAAGTCCTGACCAACATATGCCTCATTGGCCTTAACTAAAATGGGATTTGATGAAATACATTTTATACCTGGGCACGTTGCCATACTCAATAGAATTGTAATTCTATTAATGAAGAAGTAAGGAAAAATTGGGGTAGTATCCAGCAGTTTCTGCCACACTAACCTTGCAGTATTTTAGGATGGCTGTAAGATCCCAACTAAGTTTTCCCTTTCTCTGGCTAAAAGCAATTCCAGTTACCTTGAGCATTCTTTTTGCCATCTCTCATTATGAGCATCATCATCTTCCCAAAGTGAAGTGCTTTCTTAAAATATGTTAGAAAGAACAGGACATAGTATTACGTTTGTGGCCAGACAGTGGTCATACTGTCTCCTGATCTGTACTTAGTGTGTTTTTGTTCAGGCAGCCTCAGAATGAGGAATAATTTTGGTAACTACTTGGCTGCAATTGAACATGCAACCAATCAAAGCCATATGAAATTGTTTTACATGGAATGAATTGAAGCTCAGATTTCCCTGTTCCATATTAATTTTTTGTGAAACATATTGAGAAGTAACTTAAATATAAAAAAAAGCACCCAATTAAATGTAAAATTTGTTGAGTTTGGCCAGTGTAAACAGTTGTATAATCATGACCACAAACAAGATACAAGGAACGTTTTTAACACCAAAAATTTATCTTATGTTCCTTTTCTGTCAATCCACTGCCACCTAATCTAGTCTAACCGCTGATCTAATTTGCATTAATAAAGATTTATTTTGTCTATTCTAGAACTTCTTATCTATGGACATATGTAGTAATATGTCCTGTAGTAATATGCCTGGCATTTTTTGCTCAGCATGTTTTTAAAATTCATCCATGTTGTGTTTATCATTAATTTGTTCATGATTATTGCTGAGTATATTCTATTTTATGCTCATATCAGTTTGCTAATCCATTCTTTTGCTAATTGTCATTTGGACTGTTTCCAGTTTGAAGCTATTATGAATCAAGGTAATATGAATGTTCACGTACAAGCCTTTTTGTAAACATAGATTTTCTTTTCTGTTAGCAAATATGCAGGAGTGAAATTGCTAGGTCACATAGTAAGTGTATTTTAACTTTATAAGAACATGCAAATCTATTTTCTAAAGTGGTGGTACTGTATTACACTCCCACCAGTAGTATATGAGAGTCTCCTTGCTCTACATCCTTGAAACACGCATATTGTCAGTCTTTATTTTAACAATCTAATATGTGTGTATTTGACTCTGATTATAGTTTTAATTTTCATTTCTCTGATAACAAATGATTTTGAGCATGTTTTTTATGCTGATGGACTTAGTATATCTTTTTATGGAAGAATCTGTCTATGCATATTTCTCTGTATATATGTGTACATACTTTTTCTTACTATTGAATTTTTTTATATATTTCAGATGCAAGCCATTTGTCAGATATACATATTGCATATATTTTCTACCAATTAGTGGCCTGAATTTCATTTTCTTTATAATTACTTTTTAAAAACCAGTTTAGAGTTTCGATAAAAGATAAATTTATTTATTTTTATTTTATTGCTCATATTTTTAATATTGTGGCTTACAAATCCTTCTCCTTTCCCTATCATAAATACGTTTTCTTATTTTTTCTTTTAAAAGTTTTATATGCTTGGCTGGGCACGGTGGCTCATTCTTGCAATCTCAGCACTTTGGGAGGCCGAGGTGGGAGGGTCATTTGAGATCAGGAGTTCAAGACCAGCTTGGCCCACATGGTGAGACCTTGTCTCTTCTAAAAATACAAAAATTAGCTGGGCTTGGTGGCGGGTGCTTGTAATCCCAGCTACTCAGGAGGCTGAGGTAGAAGAATTGCTTGAACCTAGGAGGCAGAGGTTTCAGTGAACTGAGATCATTCCAGTCTGGTTGACAGAGTGCTGAGTACCACTGCATCTCCAGAAAAAAAAAAAAAAAAAAAAAAAAAAAAAGAAAGTTATATAGGCCAGGTGTGGTGGCTGTAATCCCAGCACTTTGGGAGGCTGAGGCAGGTGGATCACTTGAGCCCAGGAGTTTGAGACCAGCCTGGGCAACATGGAGAAAACTCATCTCTGCAGAAAATGGAAAAATTAGCTGGGCATGGTGGTGCATGCCTGCAATGCCAGCTATTCAGGAGTCTGGGGTGGGAGGATTACCTGAGCCTGGGGAGGGAGAAGCTGCAGTGAGCTGTAATGACACTACTGCACTCCAGCCTGGGTGACACAATGAGACCCTGTCGCAAATAAATAAATAAATAAATAAATAAATAAATAAATAAATAAGTAAGTCAAGTTGTGTAGTTTTACCTTTTACCTTTAGAATGCACATTTGTGTAAGGTGTGCTTGAAAATACATTTTTTCCCATATAGTTAGAAAGTTAGCCAACAGTATTTACTGAAAAAATCTTACTTTTCTTATTGATTTACCTTGGCACTATTGTTGAAATCAATTGCTCATATAAGGTTCAGTCTACTACTGGACTCTCTATTCTGTTCCAGTGAGCTGTTTGTTTATTCTTATAGCAATATAACCAAATTGATCACACTAGTTTTGTAGTTAGTCTTGACATTTTTTTAAAAAGTGCTAGTATTCTTAATTTTTTTCTCTTTCAAAATAATGTTAGTTCTTAAATGCTCCTTGAATTTCAATATAAATTTTAAAATAAACGTGTCAATATCTATAACATAGCCCATTAGAATTTTTACTGGGATTGTGTTGAATGTACAGAGCTATTTGGAGATGACTGAAATACAGCATTAGCAGTGTTGTGTCTGCCAACTTATCAACCTGAAAAATCTCCTAATTTATTTAGGTATTCTTTAATTTGTTTTTCAGCATTGTGATTTGAAGCTCTATTATTATGTGTGTACCTATTTAAGTTTGTTATATATTCTTGATAATTGAACTCTTTATTATTCTAAAATGTCCAGTTTAAATCTCTATTAGTATTTCTTATCTTGAAGCTTTGTCTGATATTAGTACAGTCACTCTAGCCTTTTCCATCCTTTTAACCAATCTGTCTTTATATTGAAGGGAGTTTTGTGTAGATAATATATAGTGAATTCCGCTGCTTTATCTACTTTGACAATTAATTTGTATGTTGTTCTCATTGACATTTAACCTAAATATTAATATGTTTGCCTCACATTTACCGTATTCCTATTTTCTATTTTTCCCATTTGTTCTTTGTTTTCTTTTCCTTCCTTTGTATTATTTGTTAATTGAGTATTATATTTTAGTGTTCATTTTACCTCCTCTATTGACATTTTAGCTATGCATCCTTTTTCTGCCCTACCCTCAGTGGTTGCTCTGTGGTTTACAATATGCATTTTAAAATTATTTCAGTCTACAAATAAGTTGTTTTTCTATTTCATATATAATGTAAAAACTTCATGACTGTATACTTTCATTTTTCTCTCCCATATTTTGTTGCATTTTAGAATGCTTAATTCAGCAATTGCTATAGACCAGATTATATATTGTTATTATTCTCATTTTATACAGCCAACTATCTTTTAAAGAAACTGAAAGAAAAAAAGTATTTTTATACCCTCCTAGTTATCAATTTCTTCATTTCTTTTCGTATCTCTGAATTTCCATCTGGTAACCTTTTTCTTCACCCTAAAGAACTTATTTTAACATGTCTTGTGGTATCAGTGACTAATTCTTTTTTTCTGCTAAAAATTGTTTTATTTTACTTCAATTTTTACTTGAATTTCATTTTAAAGGATATTTACTTCAATTTTAAAGGATATTTATAATATAGAAGGCCTTTTTCCTTATTTTTTCTTTCATTGCTTTAATGATGTTGTTCTATAGACTTGTGGATTACATTGTTTCTGGTAATTTGTCTCTATCTTTGTTTTCCTGTATGTGGAAAGCAACTGTTTTATTCAGGGAGCTTTTAAGAGTTTTTATTTATTATTGACCTTAAACCATTTGGTTATGATATAGCTTGGTGTTCTGTGTGTTTATCTAACTTCATGTTCTTTACACTTTTGGGGTTTGTGGACTGTTATGTTTCATCAGAGTTGGGTATTTTTTCTAGCCATTTTTATACTCAAATATTTTTCTCCTTCCCCCATTTGAAAGTCTGGTACTAAGTTTACATATATTAGATAGCTTGCTATTATCCCACAGATTACTGAGGCTTTGCTCTTTTATATCAGCCTTTCTTTTTATTTTACCATGCTTCAGCTGGGGTTGTTTCTGTTACTATGACTTTACATTTACTGAACTCTTCTGCAGTTTCTAATCTACTGTTAATCCCTCCCAGTAAATTTTTCATTTCGGGTATTCTGCTTTTTTGATTTTAGGAGGTTCATTTGATATTGTTAATAGTTTGTATTTATTTGCTTACCTGGCCTTCTTTTAAAAAAAAAAAATATTGAATTTAGGCCAGATGCAGTGGCTCACACCTGTAATTCCAGTACTTTGGGAGACCCAAGCAGGCAGATTGCTTGAGGCCAGGAGTTCAAACCCTCCCTGGCCAACATGGTAAAACCCCATCTCTACTAATAATACAAAAATTAGTTGGGCCGGTGGTGCACACCTGTAATCCCAGCTACTTGGGAGGCTAAGGCTCGAGAATCGAATGAACCCAGGAGGTAGAGGATGCAGTGAGCTAAGATCGTGCCACTGAACTCCAGCCTGGGTGACAGAGTGACACTCTGTTTCAAAAACAAAAACAAAAAAATCATCAAATTTGTTTATAATAGTTTGGGGTTAATTCATCATCTCTGATATTATCAGTTTTTTTTAATTGTTGTTCTTACTTTTTTCTTAGGATTGTTACTTGTTTTTGCTTCTTCACATCTCTACTATTTTTGCTTAGATACTGAACTTTGTGAATGTTACATGGCTGCACATACAGATTTTGTCTCATTCCTTTAATGTTATTGATGGGGACGGGGGCAGAGAAATTCTAGGCAGACAGGGGCCAGTCCCTGGCAAAGCCCCACTCTCAAGCATAAAAACCTGTGACCATGGCCCACAGTGAGAACTTATATCCCTGTTTTCCTGCTGAAATGTGTCCTTTTCCTAAACCACCCATGGCCTGTACTGCACCCCATCCTGTGTCTATAAAAGCCCCAGAATCAGCTGACAGACAAGGAGCAGCTGGACATCAGAGACTATGTCTGGACATTAGAAAGAAGCAGCTTGACTTCAGAGGGACAGCTTGATGGTGTAACTTCAGAGAAGAATCCAGCTGGAGACTTCCGGACTTCAGGGGAAGATTACCTTCCCACCCCATCCCCTTTTCAGCTCCTCTTCCTACTGAGAGCCACTTTCATTGGCAATAAACCCCGCCCCCTGCATTTACCATCATTCAAATCATTCCTGTGACCTCATTCTTCTGGATGCTGGGCAAGAGCTTGGGATCCATGAGTGCAGATAAAAGAGGGCCCTCTGAGCTGTTAACACTTAAGCCGTCCACAGATGGCAGAGCTAAAGGAGCACTGTAACACTCCCTCTGGGGCTTCAGGGGTCACAGGCACCCCCAAGTCCAGACACTGCCATGGGGCCTACACAGAGTTTGCTCTTGCCGACACCCAAAAGCACTCACCCTGGCTCCTGCACCTGCTTACCTGTGCGCTCACTCCCACAAGGGGTGGAGCAAAGCAGGTGGGAGTTAATGGAGTTCACCTCTGCTCCTGCACTCCAGTTCCCGCCTCATTCACTCACACACTCCCTCCTGCAGGGAGTTGAGAGCTGTGGGCTGAGTAAACTAGGCACCCTCTTCGCAGGTCCTGCAAAGGGGTCAAGTAAATATCCTGCTTCATTATGTTGTGCTTTGTATTGCATGGTGGTTCATTTAGTCGTGAACCTCAGTAGTCTTTCACTTTGTGTTCCTTGATAGTGATTGTTCACTTGGCCTTGTTGAGTCTCACTCAGTGCATGCACAGCTTAGATTGCATCTGAAGTCTCAAGGGCACCCTTATGCAAATTTCTGGAGTACTTTCTATGTGAAGCTCCCACTTCCTTGTACCCTGTCCTGCAAATACCAGCAGTCATAGCCTTTTCAAACTCTGATATTGTCTTTTTAGCTCAACACAACTGGAAAGTGTTTCTGGGTGGAAAACTTGGACAATCATAAGACTCACCTTGTTGCCTCATTTCAGTATTCAAAACATGTTACTGTCTGAAAACAATAGTGTCCCGGTCTCTAATTGTTTACACTGGGAGAGATAATCCTGCACCTGTTAGTTCATCATGGCTAAGAGTAGATAAACTTTAGGCACTTATAAATACAGGACATCACAGTTAGTCTTAGTAATTTGTAACTTGTAGGTTGAAATCCACCTTTTCAACATGTCCACATTATTTGGCTCTTACCTAACACTCCAAGATTTTTATTGGTTGCATATTTTCAAGTGCCCAGCTTGTTTCTACCACTGGAGAATAGGCCCATGGGTGCTGAGTACAAAAGTAAGCTCCATGACTCTTTGTGATTAAGTGTGAATTTTGTGGACAGATTGCCTCTCCCCAAATTTTGGACCCACTGGTTAAGAGATTGCATCCTTGGGCAAGTTACTTAACCTGTTTCTTCCTCTCTCTTTTTTTTTTTTTTCCTGTAGAATAGTCTTCTTTCATTATTTTCAGTTAGCTCATAGGCATGTTGTGAAAAATAAAGGAGTTAAAATATATGCAAAGCACATAGGACAGCATCTGCTACATACAGTTAAAACTATTATTATTAATTCTGACCCAAACTACAAACTATCCATATTCTCACTTCTTATCTACCTGTCTTTTCAGCTCAACACAACTGGAAAGTGTTTCTGGGTGGAAAGCTTTAGGCACTTACAAATGCAGGACTTCACATTTTGACTTAGTCTGTTTTTACGTCTCGTATGGTTTCTGGTAACAGTTGTCCACAATCCACATCTTTTTGTTTTTTTTTTTTCCTTTTTTTAAGATGGAGTCTCACTCTGTCACCCAGACTGGAGTGCAGTGGTACAGTCTTGGCTCACTGCAACGTCTGCCTCCTGGGTTCAAGCGATTCTCTTGCCTCTGCCTCGGCCTTCTAAAGTGCTGAGATTACAGGTGTGAGCCACCACACCTGGCCCACAGTCCACATCTTAATTCCCTCATTTTTGTAAATATTCCTCAAAGGTTTGTCTGATTGAATATGGCTTATTATCAAGGCTGTGATCCAGATAGCTTTATATTTCCCATCCAAATTTCTGATTAAAGAGTACCAAGAATTAAATTTTGTAGAATGCCACAGAGGGATTGGTGGAAGGTTGTGTATGTTTACTCAGAGAAGCATATTAAAATACTGACATCATTCTCAGCAAACTGTCACAAGGACAAAAAACCAAACACTGCATGTTCTCACTCATAGGTGGGAATTGAACAATGAGAACACATGGACACAGGAAGGGGAACATCACACACCAGGGACTGATGTGGGGTGTGGGCAGAGGGGAGAGATAGCATTAGGAGATATACCTAATGCTAAATGACGAGTTAATGGGTGCAGCACACCAACATGGCACATGTATGCATATGTAACAAACCTGCATGTTGTGCACATGTATCCTAAAACTTAAAGTATAATAATAATAATTAAAAAAATAAATTAATTAAAAAAATACTGACATCCATGTCCCCTTTTCTTCCTCCACCATCATTCTTACCATCTACCCCACAAGGTTGCCCTAGAATGTGCATTTTGAAAGAATGTCTGTGTGTTTGTTATATGTATTTTTCTCTCTATCCACAATGTGAGAAATATAGCAACAAATGCATTTCTCCAGCTTGACACTTTTCAGTGTCAGCATTCAATAATACATAAATTTTACCATTTAGGTCTCATTTTTCCATTTTTTTCCGCAAAGAATTACAGACAAAAATAAAGTCAAAATTATTGCTGAAATTTCTGTATAAAATACCTACAACATCCTTTCAAGCTCTCAATTAAGTATCCTTATGAAAATAAAGAAAATAATACAAACTTTTTCATAGGTAAGCCCATACCATGCTGTATTTTAGAAAACAATCCCTTTTTTCTAGATAGGCAGAAATGCAGAAATCATATATTTAGTAATATACTGTAGAATTTTAAATAAAGCTTTTTATGTTTTGAGAAACTGCAAAAAATATATTGTCTGAAAGCATATATTACAGATGCCATTTAACTACATGTCTTTGCCTATGACACTTTCCATTTTACAGAGTATACGAACTCTGTGTCTGAAAACTGAATATGATGAAATCTGAGTATTACTCAATTATAAAGCTTTAAATATTGTTTTTTTTTAAATTTTCAACATCTTTTATCTATGGAGATATTTCCAACTTATGAGACAAGAGGTGCTAAGGAATTAATAAAAATTACCCTTTACTGTATAAGACATTTGTTATGAGAATATGTCTCTTTTTTAACATTACATAAAACACTAAAAGAAAGGTTTTATAATGAACAACCTGAAAATATATTTTATTGCATAATAGAAATACTTTGTAAGCATCTTATAGTTCAGATCAGATTAATAAAATATAATTTAGTATCCATTTGTACAAACTTTCTACAGTTATTATGGCTGAATAAATGTTTCTTATGCATTCTTAAAGTATTTTGGTTATTAAATTCAAAAACATTAATGTTTTACTTGTTTTCTATGCAAAATAATTATTTTAGTTCTATCTGACAATCTAAACTTTAGTTGTAGAGGGGAAAGCAAATAAATGCAGTATATATTTCTCCCATGTAAAAAAGATTAGTTACAGATCAATTTTGCATTTTTTATTGTCTAAAAATATTTTCTCTATTTAATAATTCCTGAAGTATGTGTATTTTAATATTTGTTTTAAGCCTCAAAAAATCATATTTATTAGTAATGATTCATAATAATCTTCTTAAATTATTTACATATTTTAAATATCTCATTTAATATGTTTTAAGTGCTCTTTTTACTAATGCATATTTTAATTTCTTAGCACATTTATTTACTGAATTTCTGTCATGATAATATTATAGAGCGATAATGAGTTTAGACAGTTTTTCAGTTCCTTTAAATAAGAACTCACAAAAAAATTAATGATTTGGCTTATATGGTTAAATTTTTTGTTTTTGTCTTAGAAGGTAATTGATAGGTACAATTTCATGTGAGTAAATTCAAAGAATAGCTGAGTGTAAGTTTTTGTGTGACGTGTGTCTCATTGTGGAGCAACAAGTGACTGGCGGGTTTGGGACAGTGAGAACAGCCATAGGTAGTGGCAGCAGCGGGCCTGCATGCTGGGATTTTGATGCCACCTGTCAGTGTGATGAGATTGCTCTTTTGAAGGATGGTTTTTGGTGCCCTAGTTTTCCTATTAACCCACTTACTACCATACTGCTCACTTTCCCTTCTCTGGGACTAACTGCTGTGTCTTGTCCTGTCTTTGAAATAGAATCTTAAACACTCAGTGGAAGCTCTTAATTTAGGATATTGGTACCACGGGAGGGGAGCGCCTTAGAGAATTGAAGTACTCTTGTATTTTTTCACCTTCCAGGATAAAAGCATACTGTTTGGATAAGCACTGAAAATGGTTCAAGGAAAGAGTCCTAGCTAAAAATAGAAAAATAAATGAAGTCAAACATGAAGAAATTTTTCAAATGGTTCATGAAACAGTATGACATTATTTTACACTTCCTTAAAAATTGAAGATTTTGAAGGGTAAACACATGCCTGGTGGTCTGAGGCAAAAGTCCTCATGCTTGTGAAATAAATATTTGTAGACAGGAATCTTTCTGTTTATTTGTTTTTTTTAATATGTTTTGAGAAAATAATGGAAACTCTTAAACACTGCACATAAAATTTAGAATATATTAACATTTAAAATAGTAATTTGCCATCTGTTCTTTATTGAATTCAGAAAAGATGAATATCCACAATACAAATGACCCATGGTTATAAGAAAGTATCACTCTTTGAGCCAAGTGAATTGCAATGAGACTGATAGATTTTAAAAGTTATATTTTAAGGCTAGCAGTCTGAAGTGAATAGAACAATAATTAATTTACTCTTAGCATTTAATGTATAACTTAATGTGGATTCTCAGAGCAGATTTAAATTTCTTTTTTTAGTTTAGAATATATTCCCACCGTCTGAAACAAATCTTGGCAAAATATGGCCCATCGCTTGTTTTATAAAACAAATTGTATCAGAACAAAACCATGCCTACTCACTTACTTATTGTCTATGCCTGATTTCATGATACAACTGAGTCAACAGTTGTGACAGAGACTGCATGTCTCACAAAACTTTTTACTATCTGGCCCTTTAAAGAAAAAGTTTGCTGACTTCTGTCTAAACCATAAAACTACATCCAATGAGGTCAAATGTATTCTATTCTAAGGAGAGTGAGTATTGTAAAAAATTTATGTTCAATAGGCTTTACTTATAAATTTTGCAATTGCATAAGCAGTGTTACCCAATACAGTTTTGTGGAAAATTTGTGGTGTGTTTAAAAAAACAAAAACGAAAAACAAAAACAAGATTCTGTAGCTGAATGGAAACTAGATATTCTTTGTTTCTTTATCTCACAATCAGTAAAATGTCAGAATAATAAAGATCTGAGAATTCATTCAATAAATTAACCATATTAGTTTTGTTTAAAGCATTTTAAACTTATTTGACCTCTCCTTCTCCAACCATGAAATATTTTTTAATATTTTTGCAGTATACTACTGTTTTCCGGAAGAGAATATTAGAAGTGGCCATCAGCTGAGCACGGTGGCTCACGCCTGTAATCCCAGCACTTTGGGAGACCGAGGCAGCCGAATCACTTGAGGTCAGGGCTTGGAGACCAGCCTACCTAACATGGCAAAACACTGTCTCTACTAAAAATACAAAAATTAGCCAGGCGTGGTGGTGCACCTGTAATCCCAGCTACTTGGGAGGCTGAGGCAGGAGAATTGCTTGAACCTGGGACATGGAGGCTACAGTGAGCCTAGATCATGCCACTGCACTCCAGCCTGGGCAACAGAGCAAGACTCCATCTCAAAAAAACAAAAACAAAACAAAAGTGGCTGTCCTAAAAAATATGTAAATTGGAAATGTGACGACATGTAGGTCAAAGTAGCTTGCTGAATGGAATTCGTAGAATCATGGATTATAGATTTAAAGGAGCCCCACAGGTTGTTATTTAATGTAATTTCCAAACTTAACAGAAGATTCCTGAAAAATAAATTTAATAATTCAAATATGCCATTTTTTTACTGTATGAGAGATAGCTAATTATAAGCACCTTAAAGTTTAACAAAATGCATTTAATGGATTATGTATGAATATTGGTTTCACTTTCTGGAGATGAAAGACATTATCATTATGCTGTGATAAATGCTGAAACAACTGTGGATTTTTATTGGTTGGTGCTATAATTAATTTTAATAGGATATTTATGAGTTTCAACTACCTCTAGATTACTTTAAAACTAAGCACTGAGAACACCATCCACATGTTTTGTTATTTTACAGGTGATATAAGTTTAATTGGGCAGATAATCCAAGTAGATTTTTATTTTGCCTCCAGAATATTACTTTCACTTTAATGGTTTGAATGCTTCTTATCACTATTTTTGAATAGAATTAATTGAATTAATTTTTTTTTGATACTGTATGATGGAATAAATTTAGTAAAAGTGTTGGCATGTAACGTATTGGCCAAAAATATTGTTGAATTTGATAAACCCCAATGAGTATAAATTCAAAAAGATGAACTTTTAACTTCCTTTTAATATTTGATTTTAAATATAGCCACTTTTACATTTTCTTTTGTTCGTTTGTTTGGTAGAGATTAGATATCACTGTCTTGCCCAGGCTGGTCTCGAACTCCTAGGCTCGAGTGATCCTCCTGCTTCCACCTCCGAAAGTCTTGGGAATTATAAGCATGAGCCACCATGCCCAGCCTAGCCTATTTTATGGATTGACAATTGACTCTGCAATTTTATTTTCATATTCATTCATCTATTAAACGATTCCTTACACCATATACAAAAGTCACCTCAAGATGGACTAAAGACTTAAATATAAAACCTAAAACTATAAAAACCCTGGAAGATAACCTAGGAAATACCATTATGGAAATAAGACTAGACAAAGATTTCATGATGCACATGCCAAAAGCAATTGCAACAAAAACAAAAATTGACAAATGGGGCCTAATTAAACTAACACAGCAAAAGAAACTATCAACAGAGTAAAAGACAACCTAGAGAATAGAAGAAAATGTTGGCAAACTATACATCTGACAAACGTCTCATATCCAGAATTTATAAGGAAATTAAACGAATTTACAAGCAGAAAACAACTCCATTAAAAAGTTGGCAAAGGACATGAAGAGATACTTTTGAAAAGAAGACATACAAGTGACCAACAAGCATATGAAAAAGTGTTCAATGTCACTAACCAAAATGCAAATAAAAACCACAATGAGATGCCATTCTCACACCAGTCAGAATGGCTATTATTAAAAAGTCAAAAAATAACAGATGCTGGTAAGATAGCAAAGAAAAGGGAACACTTATACACTGCTGGTGGGAATGTAAATTAGTTCAGCCAGTGTGGAAAGCAGTTTGGCGAGTTTTGAAAGCCTTTAAAACAGAGATCTTACTATGTGTTGCACTGGAATGTATTCAATCCCGTAACACAGAGGTCTTGTTTTGTATATTGCTGTGTCCCAATTGCCATGCACGCAGTAGCCACTCAAACTATCTGTTGAATAAAGGAATGATTCTAAGAGTGGAGAATCAGCAACAAAACACCACGTAGTCCCCATTCTGAATTGCTTAGAGATTAATAGGCTTTTGTAGCACTATGTAGAACATATACAATGAAGGTGAGCACAGGAATTGTAAGACCGATGCAAGGACAGACAAGCCTCAAATGGGATGGTTCTTGGTTTTGCCCAGGAAAGATTTCAAAGGTGAGCTGGTGGTGTTAAACAGCAACTTTTATTGAAGTGGCAGTGTACAGCAGCAGCAGAGGTATTGTCCTTGCTGAGCAGTGCTACCCCATAGGCGTGTGCCCAGAATAGCAGCTAAGAGGCAGTTCTGCACTCATATTAATACTCACTTCTAATTGCATGCAAATTAAGAGGCGGCTTATGCAGGAGTTTCTAGATGAGGGTGGTAACTTCTCGGTCATCAGGTCATTGCCATAGAAAGGGGCAGTAACTTTGGGCTGTTTCCATGGCAATGGTAAAATGACATGGCACACTTTTGGGCATGTCTTATGGAAAGTTGCTTCTGCCCTGGACCTGTTTTAGCTAGTCCTCACTTTGGTCTTGCCTCCAGAGTCAAGTCCCACCTACTATGTTTGAATCACTTAGGAAGAACCTAACCCACATTTTAGAAAGGGACCAGGGATGGCTTCCTTGCAAGAGGCAAACTTTGGCTTATGCCTAAAGGATGAGTAGGTTTTTTGTTGAAAGGAAGGATTTAACTTTTTTCAAAGAAGGGGGAATAACATGTACAAAAACCCAAAAGGTGAGAGTAGTAAATATTTGGGTTGTTTCCAATTTGGAGTATTTACAAATAAAGCTGTTATAATATGCAGGTACAAGACTTAGTGTGGACATGTATCTACATTTTTCTTGGGGAATTCATGTGGTGGAATTTCTGGGTCTGGTATATGTGTGTTTAATTTTATAATAAACTCCCAGTTTTTCAATATAGCTGTCCAATTTTACATTCTGACCAGCCTGTTATACATCACATGTCATTTCCCAAACTAGATATTATCATCATTTTTACTTTTGGCTTTTCTAAAGAATTTGTAGTAGTATCTCATTGTGTTAATAGATTGCATTTCCTTAATAATAAGCGTATGTTGATGAAATTATTAACCTTTCAAATATTTTTGGAAGGTATCTTTTCTAATCTCTGGCCTAATTTTTGAAATTGGATAGTTTGTATTTTTATTATTGAGTTATAAAGTTCGTTCTATATTCTAAATACAAGACTTTCGTTGAACAGTGTCTCCCATTTTGTGGCATACCTTTTTGTTTTCATAAAGATGATTTTTAAATTTTAAATATCGATTTTTCTAATTTATCCGTTTTTTTTCTTTTGTAGTTTATACTCTTCAGGTCTTAACCTAAGAAATTATTTTGTCTGTCTAAAGTTGCCAACATTTTCTTATGTGTTTTCTTTGAGAGGTTTTATAGTTTTAGCTTTTACATTTAAGTCTATGATCCATTTCAAGTCAGTTTTTTGTGATGGTATTTAATTTTAATAAGTAATTGTAATATTGATCTAAACATTGCTTCTCTTTATTTTTCATTTGTGATGAATGTAGGAGAAAAGTTAAGCAGTGTAACCAAGATCACATCTAGTATAATAGAGTCAGAGTTGGAAACAGATGTAGCTTACTTCAAAATAAATATTTTGTACTATCTAACATAAACCGTAATTTACAAAAGGGAAACTGAGCTAATGACAGAAGTTATAGATGATAATTTAAATAGGTAAACCAAATAATTGTTAACCAACATCCAACTTAAATATAAAAATGACCTCCAAATTGGAAAATTTTGAATTCTCTATAGGGTAATCTAAATTTTTAGGTAGGAATTTTTTTCAGGGTTTCAACTATCAAGATTTTACACTCAAGGTAAATTGTCAATTGCTCCTAGTTAATCATTATTTGGAAATTTGGATCTAGCAGACAGAAATACAATTTCTAATTTGCTAATTTAAAAACATCATCATGGAAACACATTGCATTTTTAAATTCTCATTTTTAACTCTTTTATTTATTCAATAATTAATCAAATACCTAGTATTCTCTGTAAAAGGTTAATAAACATACAGAGATAAATATCACCTTATTGAAATTAAATTATTAATAAAATATTACATTTTACACAATATTTGACAATTCAAAGATAAAGTAAGATTTTTTTAATCAGCATCCAAGAAAAATTTTATGACTGTAATACAGAAAATATGTTGAAGTCCATTCATATTTGAGAAGTATAGTGAATTTTTTTATTAATTCAAGAAGATTAATTGTGTGTTTTGTATTTGTGAAATATAAGCATTTTATTCTTACAAGGTTAAGCATCCTTAACATCTTAACTTCTTAACGTCTTAATTTCTGTGGTCTGGAGTATACCTTTTCCTTTGATTTTAACATCTTTTCTCTTTCTTTGCTCATCATACCTTTCAAGATTCTATTCTATGTAAACCATTTTTCACTGATTACTCGCTCCTTTGTATTTTTGAGACACTTACTGTCTAATAATTATTTTGTGTTTACATCTTACCATATATAAAGAAAAATCAGAGCATATTTGCAGGTGCTTATGCTGATGTTGTCCTGGTTCCTTGGCAGATCCTTTCCAGTGACACCTGTCCATCACTGAAGGCTTACCCTGTCATTAAAAGAAAGAAAAAAGTTAACTCTTGTATTAGTCTGTTCTTGCCTTGCTATAAAGTAACACCTGAGAATGGGTAATTTATAAAGAAAAGAGGTTTCATTGGCTAACAGTTCTGCAGGCTATACAGCTGAGCATTGGCTCAGCTTCTGGGGAGGCCTTGGGAAACTTCCAGTCATGGCAGGAGGTGAAGGGGAAGCAGGCACATCTTACATGGCCAGAGCAGGAGCCAGAGGTGGGGAGAGGGGCTACACACTTTTAGACAACCAGATCTCATGAGAGTTCCATCGGGAGAACAGCACTGGAGGATGGTGCTAAACCATTCATGAGAAACCGCCCTCAGGAGCCAATCACTTTGCATCAGGCCCCACCTCCAACGCTAGGGATTGCAATCCAACATGAGATTTCAGGGGGAACACAGATCCAAACTATATCGGCTATTATAAGGTTAATTTTTTAAACACCTTTATCCACATATCATAAAATTCACCTTTTAAAAATGTACAATTGCGGTTTAGTATATTCACGTAGTTGTTCAACTCTCATCACTATCTAACTTTAGAACATTTTGTTTTCTCTTCTTTATTTTTAGAGACAGAGTCCCACTCTGTTGTCCAGCATGATCTCAGCACACTGCAACCTCTGCCTCCCAGGTTCGAGTGATTCTCATGACTCAGCCTCCCGAGTACCTAGGATTACAGGCATGCACCACCACGCCCAGCTAATTTTTTTTGTATTTTTAGTAGAGACAGGGTTTTGCCACGTTGGCCAGGCTACTCTCGAACCCCTGGCCTCAAGTGATCTGCCTGCCTTAGCCTCCCAAAGTGCTGGGATTACAGGTGTGAGCCACCATGCCCAGTCTAATTTTAGAACATTTTCTTCACCCCAATAGGAAACCCCATACTTTTAAAAGTCACTCTTTATTCTTCCTTCCCCCTAGGCCCTGGCGATCACTGATCTACTTTTTCATTATATAGATTTATTTATTATGGGCATTTCATACAAGTTGCATAATACAATAGGCCATCTTCTGTGACTGTCTTCTTTTACTTAGCGTAATGTTTTCAGTGTTCATTCATGTAGTACCATGCATTGGGACTTCATTCTCTTTATGGCCAATAATTTTTACGGCCAAATAATTTTCCATTATGTGAATATCCCATATTTGATTTGTCCCTTCCTTAATTTACAGCATTTTGGTTTTTTCCACTTTTGGCTCTTATGACTAACGCTGACATGAACATTTATTTACATGTTTTTCTGTGGATATATGTTTTTGATTTTCTTGTTTGTATAACTAAGCATGGAATTGTCGGATCATATGGTAACAATTTTACATTTAAACTTTTGAAGAACATTCCAAATGTTTTTCAAAGTGGCTGCACAATTATATATTGCCACCAGCAATATATGAAGGTTCCGACTTCTCCACTTGCTTGACATTTACCTGTTATTATCTGTCCTTTGTATTATAGCCCTCTAGGGAGAGATAATTTAAGAAGTTATGGTTAATTATATACGTATTCTCCTTACCTGGGGGGAACTCGAAGAAGATATACTTTTTTAAAAAAATAAGAGGAATGTACATTTGACAATAGCCTTTCAATATTTGTAGCTATCCAAAGATTTACACACTTGAGTTAAGGAATCACTAATACAAGTAAATCATCTTAGAATTAAAAATTATACTTTTATTAATTTATTCAAAAGATCCCATTTAAGTTAATATTTCATACGTTTTGGATCATATTTTTTCTTTTTAAGTTTTTAATTATGGATACATAATCACTATATATTTACAGGGTATATGTGATATTTTGATACAAGCATACAATGTGTAATGATCACATAAGAGTAATTGGGATATCATTACCTCAAGCATTTATCATTCCTTTGTGTTAGGAGGCTTTCAGTTACAGTCTCTTAGTTGTTTTGAAATACATGTTGTTGTTGTTGTTAACTATAGTCATCCCTATTGTGCTACCAAACATTAGATCTTATTCCTTTTATTATATTTTATTAAGTAACAAATAATTTTATGTAACTATGGGGCACAATATGATGTTTTGATATATCTATACGTTATGGAATGATTAAATCAAGCTAATTAATATATCCCTCACTTCACGTCCATATCAGTTTTTTGTGATGAGAACATTCAAAACCTACTCCTTAAGCAATTTTGAAATATGCAATGCATTATTATTAACTACAGTTACCATGTGGTGCAATAGACCACTGATACTTATTCTTCCTGTCTAAATAAAACTTTGAATTCTTTAACCAGCATATCCCCTAGAGATATATAAATCTGTTTTGTTTTGTTTTGTTTTTCATCTTTTTAATGTGTTTCTTGCCAATTTGATTCAAGGGCCCAGCTGGTAAACCTAACAGAGTATAAGGGAAAAAAAATGTTCTTCCTCTCCTACACTACAATTAAACCAGAGAAGTTCTTTTACTTAAGGTATTATGAAGGTGGTTGTAGCATTTGTTGAGAATTATCAAACCCTTACTCTTTAATGAACAGAGAGAAATATAGTTTACTATGTGTTTATATGCAGCAAACTAGAAAAGATACGTAGTGGGCTCTACTATTCTCTAGTTCTTTCTCAGTAATCAACTGGTAATAATTTTTACCACTGTGACTAAGACAATAATTCTGATTCTGTCAGATTTTTACCGTGTGGTTCATATAATTCTTGTTTCACGCAACCCTGTTTTCATTAGGATGCTTACTTCTTGCCTCAAGGCTCTTACAATAAATTAGATATTCTTATCATTTGCCTATTTATTTTTGTAATAGCTGAGTAATGTTGAATCTCTCTTTTCTCCCCTGCCTTATTGCTCTATTTCTATATTTATCCTCTCTCTGAGAACTTGTCTCTAGTGAAGAAATTTTCTATTTGGGTTTACGAGCTGCATAATTCTTTTTAGTATAATGGTAAATATTCCTATTGTCTGCATTATCTTATTGACTATAATGATAATTTTTTGTTTTGAATCTGAGTTGGCAAAAGGCTTTTGCTGGTATCCTAAACTCTCCTAGATTTCACTGATGACACAGATTTTGTATTCATTTGAGGACTTTTCTTGGAATGTTATATTGGAAAATTTGAACAGTGCACACAATTTGGAAAGATGCTTTATCATTATATCCTCAGAATTGTCTTGACAAATAATACTTTCGGTTCTTTGATTGATTTAACTCTATCATTATAAATTAGGTTTTAGTTTCTTTGACTCATTGGATAACAAGAAAAAGTAGTCATATACTTTAGGCTTATATTTTGTGTAAAAATAAACTTTTAAATGCATGCACCTCCTTTCAAATAAGAATTATCCACACACCCATTGCTAAATTATAATTTCTCTTAAATTTGTTTGTGCAATAATATTGCATTATTACCAATTTTATTTCCAGAAATTATTACCAATATATTTATTTATTACCAATTTTATTACCAATTTTTGTTTTATTTATTTATTTATTTTTATTTTATTTTACTTAATTTATTTTTAATTTATTTTATTTTATTACCAGTTTTATTTCCAGAAATCACTTCATTGTTATTACCAATTTTATTTCCAGAAATTAAGAATAAGTATGAAAGTAGAGAATGCAGTGTTTTTTTCACCATGCAGAAAAAAGTAAAATAATGAGCTGCTACTCTTGGGCCTTATTTAGGTCATGTTGAACAGACTTCGGCCAAGGACAGAGTCCTATGTCAGCTGGGACCTCCCACCAACTCAACATCTATACATAATTAAGAAACTTTGAGTGTAGTTATTATTTAATGACCATTTAGTATTCTGATTAACCTGAACATTCAAGCTTCAGGCACTTATTTCATCATCTAACTCATACATAAATAGACCACATTTGTCTAAATGAAGGCCCAATGCATCAATTTCCATTCAAAGCATAAGGACAAGAAAATTATAAACAGAAAAAAGATAAAACCTATTTTCATGAATGTCTCCCAATTTACCCCAATTTTCCTGGTAAGTTTGATTCTTGTCTAATCTACCCTGAAATTTAAAGGAAGCCTTCAATAATAGATTCCATTGTGAAATTGTTATTTTTGTCTTACCTTACTTTTAGTTTGTCTCGTTTGCAATAATATGTAATTGTATACATATTTATGTGCTGTCGGCAAGTGAAAGATAGCTTCCCTCCACCCTTCTAGGTTCTTTGGCTAGGCTACCAATTAAATTGAAAGAAAAAAGGTAGACTAATGGGTACAATTATACACTTACAAGAAATAAGACTTGGTGTTCAATAGATTAGCAAAGCGAATATAGTTAACATTAATCAATTGTACATGTCAAAATAGCTAGAAGAGAATAATTCAAATATCTCTAGCATAAAGAAAAGATAAATATTTCAGGTGACGGGTCTCCCAATTACCTTGATTTGAGTATATGAATGTATCAAATTATCACATCTACCTCAAAAATATGTACATCTAATATGTATCAATGAAAAACAAACAAATAAAGATTTAAAAAATCCAAAAACAGATGAACAGAAGAAAAGTTATATAAATTTATTACATGCATGGGGGCATCACATACAAGAGAAGTGACTACTCCAAAACCCAGTGACATCTAGAAGCTTCTATATGCCCAAGGAAGAGGGGAGGGGAGATTTAGGCAACTTAGGGGAGAATAAAAGATTTTTTGAAAAGACCAATGGCCCCTCAGATAAATAGTCGATAGCCTGTGATGAAGTCTGTGTGAGCATCGTATGACCTCCCATCTCCTCTCCTGTTATAAAGTTACTCTTTCTTGGTTGATGGGATTATCTGGGAGGAGATTCTTGACAACTGAGGCTAAAACTCTAGACAATCTCTTAATATCATCAAATATTTCTTTGCTTGATTGTTGGTTTGATAGAATCATACAAACAAGGTAGGTTTACACATTGAATTTGGTTGATAGATCATCTTTTTTTTTTTTATTCTGTAGGCCCCCCTCCCACTTTGTCCTCCTCTGAGATTTATTTTCAAAGAAGCTGTTCATTTGTTTTGTAGAGTTTTTCACAGTACAGTTGTTGCTGCATCCATCCTAATGGTATTATTTAAAATCTTTACCTGACCTCTGTGTCCTCTATAAAATAATTCTTAAATCCAGAGTCCTGATCTGTTTAGATTCAAATTTTTGACAAGAATATTTCATAGGTGTAATTGTGTATTTCTGTCAAGAGGCATGTATCATCTTTTTTTTTTTTCCCCTCTCCCTCTCTATTTATCTTATTAGAGTTGATTTTGGGAATTGCCTGGATTCATTACAGTAGTCCACCCTTATCCCCAGTATTGCTTTCTGCAATTTCAGAACAGATCAATGGCAGTCCAAAAAATATTAAATAAAAAATTCTGGAAATAAACTTCATAAATTTCAAATTGCCCACCATTCTGGTTAGAATAATGAAGTGTTGTGTTGTCTGTGCCTTCCAGCTCTGTTCTGCCTGAGATGTGAGTCATTCCTTTGTCTAGCACGTCTTATGCTACTTGTATGTTAGTCACTCTGTAGCCATCTTGTTATCAGATCAACTGTTGCGGTATCCCAGTGCTCGTGTTCAGGCCACCCTTACTTTGCTTAGTAATAGTCCCAAAGTGCAAGATAAATGATGCTGACAATTTGGATATGCCAAAGAGAAGCCATAAAGTGCTTCCTTAAAGTGAAAAGGTGAAAATTCTCCAATTAATAAAGAAAGAAAAAAACTTATTCTATAGTTGTTAAGATCTATGGAAGCAATGAGTGTTATATCTGTCAAACTGTGAAGTGGGAAAATTTTTTTTTACTACTTTTGCTTTGTACTTCAAACTGCAAAAGTAACAGCCACAATATGAGATAAGCACTAAAAGTGGGAAAGACTTTAGATTTATGGTTGGAAGACATGACAAGAAATGTGTTAAAATTGACTGCAGTAGTGTTCAATACTATCTGCGGTTTCAGGCATCCACTAGGGACCTTGGAATGCATTCCCTATGGATAAAGAGAGATGACAGTATTTCATAAGAGTATTACAAAATTAAAGTGTTTTATTTTTATCATTCCTTCTTCATGTATTAGCTAGAATACTTCTATAAAGAGAAAATTCTCCTGTGGTACAATTGGTCTAGGATAGTCAAGGTTAAGTGCTTGATTACTTCTCTTGTATCCATTTTCAGATTGATACATTACTTCTCTAGCAACCTCCAAAGGTACCCAATGGATTTATGTTTAGTATCATTATAAATTTAGGAACTGTTTTACTTTTGAATATGTAAGAAATCATTCAAATTTAGTGATGCTAAGGTGATTCAAAATGTTAAACCAAAACCATGTGTACAGTTGAAAAGTAATGTAAAAGAATAAAACAAAACACTAGAGAAAGATTTGTTGAATATACTAAAAGAATGATTTGTGTTTAAAAACAGAATTTCCTCAGTTTTTGGAATGCTAATAGTACTAACAAATTGATAGTAAATAAAATAGAACAATAAAATTCCACTAATACATTTCTTTCCTAAAATCTACAATGTGTTGTCTATTTATTATATGCAGGATCTATTCCAAACACTACAACTAATCATAAAGAATATTCTCAACTCTATGAAGAAAGTATTATTATTACCATTTTACATTTGAAGATATCTAATCTTCTTAGAAAGCTGATTGACAGTTAATATTGTAGCTATTCCCTGTTTAACCTTCCTAAATTCCTTAGGGGATTTATGAATGGCTCCAGGAGATCCACCATTCTCCGTAACTATCAATGTGCATGTACATTTTTCTAGAGAGACTTTCCATAGCTGTAACCAAATTTTGAAAGGAAACTATGATCTCCTATCCTCCCAGAAAGTCAAGAATCAGTGCAATATCTGAGTTGATTAGTAAGTGTATGATGAAGACATTGAGAATTCAGAAGAGTCTGGTCATTTTTTATTTGCACAAACATTATGAAGATCTATCTGATAGTAGAGGCGCTAGCTAGCCACCTTACTTTGGATGTATACATTTTTCAATATACATGATTTTCTATCTAAAAACTTATATAGAGTCTCAAATATATCTCCTGTCTTAGTTTAAATGTTTTCTGGTGCCATGTGAAACTTAGTGTAGACATTGCTAGACATTATGTATGCTAGCTTTAAAATTTCAGTAAGTATACATTTCTCAATGCCATAAAATACAAAAATCGATGTTGAGTGAAATTATATAGGAAATGCTTACAAATATTTCAGAGGATAAAGATTGCTAATGAAAACACAACCATCTAAATAAAATCTAAAGATTGTAAATAACCACCACCCATTTTAATGTACGCACTTGATAAGAGTACTGAGAGGGAAATTCAGGCTGATTTCTCCCCCATCCCCAACAGTGAATTCCTTTTTAAACACAGACTGCCAGTCCTTTTTTCACATACCTTTTCTATATTACTCATATAAATTTTGGTTTCAGCAATATTATTGATGCCATCTGAACTATTTCTTAGTGGATTGGTCATTTTTTATAACTCTGTGTCCTTCATCCTAGACTCCACCTCTAACTGTCAGAACCAAATCATAATATCAGTTACTCACTATTAATAGAATTTCAAAAATACATTCATCAACTTATCTAAAGTTTTAATACTGTATTCTAAATACTGTATTTTAAGCACAAATTGTTCTTTTATAGAAAAAAAATTATTCTGCCCTGATGAGTATTCTATTTTGTTTCTGTTTAATGGTACTTTTTATCATTCTGTTCATTAAGATAATCATCCTGGAACCATAAACACACTCAATAAAATGCTTCAGGGGACAGATTACCAATATTTCTAATTAAAGATACTGTTGACCATAAGCTAATTAGAGTAAGCAACATTTTAAGCATGGTACAGAAATTATAAAGTTATAAATTACTAAAATTAAAGACAGTGTACAGTTGGAATTTTATAAGGCTACATAAAGCATTTTTACATTGAAGTAAAAATAATATAGGGTTGGATTTTTTCCAGTGAAATTTTATTATTTTTAAATTCTCTAATTACTGGCAACGACGCCACCTGGCAGAATTTACATTTAGATCCAAGAAGGAATAAACACTGTACTCTACCTTCATCCACATTCTATTTGTTTATTTATTTATTGTTCTGGCTTTATAAGTTAAGTGTTAAATTGAAATATTATCTTATCAATATAAGCACAGTTCAAACCTTCACTTAAATAATTCAAGTGGAGATTTTTTCTTCCTGCTTGAATTAATCTACTGTGTTTTATGATGGAGAGGTCATTGTTAATGCCCACAGTGAGGAGAAACATTAGTAAATGAATGATTTATCCTGTCTTTGCATTTGCGTAAACAAGATAACTGTGAATAAATCTTTCCTATTTTACCTTGAAAATGCAATTCTAGAATTTATTAAGCCTTAAGCTGGAAACTGAAAGGACTGAGACAAGTAAAGTCAACCCTTTGGAAAAGCAGAGGCTAGAAGAGGGGCAATCCTGGCTCCAGAAGTCAGGTCAAAGAGGAGGCTTTGCTTGTCAGGATCACACTCTGTGACTTCACACAGTGGCTCCAGGGGAGAGAACAATGTTTCTTACAAACACTAGAAGAATATTTGTCTGAAGCTCAAGAAGTCAAAGACTAATTGAATTCTAAAGCAGAATGAAACCCTTAAGATTCCATGGTAAACTTGGTACTGTATGCAAAAAGCAGAACAGAGATGGTTATATTAATTCTTAAGTAATTCTCAAGTTAGCAGGGAATAAGGAATAAGATTTATTGTCACCAGAATTATTTGTGCCAATATATACACATGGAAAAAAATAGAACTTTAAGAGCCAAGGTAATAAAAATTCACTTCCACTGTAAAAAAAAAATAGAACTTTTAATTCAAGATTTAAAAGTGTTCAGGTAATGCTGAAAAAAATTATACTGTGCCTTCCACTCCCCCACTCCCTCGCAAGGGGACAACTCTAAAACAAAAAATAGGGCTCAAATTCCATGGTCATTTTACTGTTTTATATTTGGCACATTAGATATAAAGATTTCTTCAAATTTACCTCTGGCCATTCTATAGAAAATCAGTCCATTGAGAAAGAAGTGGTAGTAGATATTCAATATAACCAGCAAGCCAAACGTTTAAATTTTTAAAGCAAGGAAATTGGTAAATTCAGGAAACTATTCTGGTGAAACTACCGTGTACATAATTCACAAAGAAATGAAAACACTAGGATGCGGCCAGATGCTTGAAGCTTATATACCATCTTTAGGCTAAACAAGGGGAAAATGGTTTTGAGCTTCGGGATGAGAGAAGCAAGTTGTAAGAAGTGAAGGAGAGGAAATGTGTGGTAAATAAGGGTTTTTTGTTGTTGTGGTTATGCAGCTATCAGTTGGGTGGTAAGAGTGGTCTCCAAGAGTAGCTTTTTTTCTGGTAAAAAGACATTTTTATAAATAGAAACTCCCTTTATAAACATAAATTTCTTTTGCAAAAGAGGAAATGTATACTCTAGTTCAGGCAGTTAGCGGGTGCTAAAGAGCTTTTTCTATATTACTGGTCGTCAATTGCCTTTAGTCAAAATAATCTGTATGCCAAGCAGAAATATTTTGAAGTGGTATATTGTGGTACACTTCAATCTGCACCTGTACTAAGTAGCACCTTTATCAGCAACATTCTACTGTTCTGAGTAGGCAACACCAGATAATTGTTACTCTTCCCACAATTATGTCCCAATGAGGCCTATTTCTGTCAGGGTGTGTTTTGATTTATATGAACCTTTTTGGAGCATCTGGTGCATGAGACTTACAGTGTGTAGTAGAGTCATAAGGATTATTAGAGTATGTTCAGTAATTTTCCTCACCAATGTAGACAAACCTAAAAGAATACAGTGGTATGCTCTCAGGTTCTCTGTTTAGCATGTCGAGATTCCCTCATTGAGAAACCCTTTCTCTTCTCTATAACCACATACCTCATGTTGGGATTATTTAGCTATATCTTTTCTTCTATACTAGAAGGCCACTAATGTACTTGCCACCCTTGATTGTGGGCTGGACTGGAGATTCGTTTCTAATTAGAATACATAAAAATTGTAGGATGTCACTTTCAATATTAGATTACAAAGAGACCATAGCTTCCTTCTGTGGGCCCTCCCTTGATCTCTCGCTGTCTCACTCTGAGAGAAGCCAGCTGCCATATTGCAAACTTCCCTTTGGAGAAGCTCATGTAGCAAGGAACTGAGAGAGGCCTCAAGCCAAACACCCAGTGGGGGAAGTAAGGCCGTCAGTCTGATAGTTTGTGAGAAACTGAACATTGACAGCAAACCATGAGTGAGCTTGGAAGTGAATACTCTTGAATTAAGCCTTCAGAGGAGATCTCAGCTGAGGTAGAGGTTAAGTCATTGAATTCTTGACCTAAAGAAACTGTAAAATAATAAGAATTTATTATTAAGCTGCTGAGTTTGCAAATGAGGGTGGAGACTTGTTATATGGCAATAGATAACTAATGCACATACTAAGGCAGGATCTTTTTCTGAATCATTTCTTTATTCCCCAAATAACTGCATAATCCCATGCTTTACTGTGGATTACCTGGATTATACTAGATGCTCAATGAATATTTCTCAGATTACACTTTGAATAATATCAAAATCTATTAAATGCTAACAATGTGTCAAGCATTGTTCTAAGTGTTTCACATATATTTATACTTTGAATCATCGCAACCTCCCTATGAGGTAGGTTCAGTCATTCTCTCCATTTTACGAATGAAGAAATTGAAGTTTGGAGATATTAAGAAATGTTCTCAAGATCACAGTTTCTAAGAAACAGCGTCCTATATTTGAACCCAAATAGTCTGGCTCCAAATGACATGATTTCAGCCTTCATGCTTTTCTGCTTCTCTGTGAATTGATGAATACTTGCTCAATGAAAGAATGAATCACCTAATCATTTATAACACTGAAACTTACATATTTAGCACTTAAGTTGTGTCTTTTATTTTTCCTGGATGTGTAATGAACACTACTTAGAAACGTTAAAGCTGTGGTCTACAAATTTTTTTTGTAAACACACTATTTGCTTACAAATATTTGACTACACATGAAGAATCAGAAATAGGTAATTTTAAAATAAAGAAAAATCTGTCTAAATTCAGAAGACAAATCTTACATTCTAGTGAAATAAGAATTCTGGAAATATGAAATCATAGCTCTTCCTCCCTTTCTTCCTCTCTCTCCCTAAAGAACACCTATACCTTTCCAATAAAATACCTACTTTTAGATGTAATTCTTGAAAGCATGAAAATAAAATTTATTTCCCTCATGATTTTCTCAATTCTACTTGTCTAACATTGACTTTTTCTATTTGTAATGCAGCACAACCCAGTAGGATTTCCCATTGTTTCCTTCCTAAAACCGTGCACCTGCACCATCGATTATGCCAGGAAGAGCTAGCACAACTTTGGAATGAAAACCAATAACATGCTATGAAAATAGAGACAAGACAGCTTAGAAGATTGATTCTGAATTACAGAGCTGCTTCCTGATCTGCAACCACCCAAATTCTTACAGCTTGACAGCTGGTTAGTGAGCACAGGACAAACCACAGGCTTGCCTCATGACCTAAATGAGGGCAATTTGCACAGTTTGTGGTGTAGTTATCACAGAAAAGACTACAAATCAAAATCTTTTGAACTAAGGAACTGGAATAGTTCTGTTTCCAAGTTTTTTCATCTTTAAAATGGGAATAAAGACATTTAAAATTGTAGAGTTGTCAGCACTTTGGGAGGCCGAGGCGGGTGGATCATGAGGTCAGGAGATCGAGACCATCCTGGCTAACAAGGTGAAACCCCGTCTCTACTAAAAATACAAAAAATTAGCCGGGCGCGGTGGCGGGCGCCTGTAGTCCCAGCTACTCGGGAGGCTGAGGCAGGAGAATGGCGTGAACCCGGGAAGCGGAGCTTGCAGTGAGCCGAGATTGCACCACTGCAGTCCGCAGTCCGGCCTGGGCGACAGAGCGAGACTCCGTCTCAAAAAAAAAAAAAAAAAAAAAAAAAAAAAAATTGTAGAGTTGTTTCAGGAATAAAGTCAAATCATGTATTTGGAAGCTTTATTAATATAATAGTTAATATACAAATGCAAAGTATTACCCTAATTATTATGATTATCTTTGAAATCATATTTTTTTAATTTTACTACTATGCAAATTTGTCTTTTTATAATTTTTTAGGTTATAATTCTCAGTTTATGAAGAACTACAAGAATAGTGCAAAAATGCATATCCTTTTCTAAGATTCATCAGTTGTTAACATGCGGTGAATCTATTTTACTAGATCATTTTGTGCTCACCCTATGCACTCTCTCAGGCATACTTTCTCTCTGAATTATTTGAGAGTAAATTATCTCAATAACCTGAGGATAAATCAGAGACATCAGTTTTTTATCCTAAATACTTCAGAGTGTATTTGCTAAGAGAAAAGCTGTTATTTACGTAACCACAGTTAAATAATCAAAATCAGAAAACTTAGTATTGATATAACGCTCTTGTCCAACACACTATCCATACCCAAATTTTGAAAATTGTCCTAAAAATGTCTTTGGTAGCTATGTCTTCAACCCAACCAGTCCCCCTTTTTGGAGACGAATTTAAGCCTTTTAAAAATGCTTTTAATCTTTCATGATCTTGACACCTTTTTAAGTACACAAGCTATTTTTTTCTGTAGAATTTCCCTCATTTGTCTCATATACACTGTACCTTAATTTACATATTTGCAGAAAAATGCATTAGGATAGAATTTCTAAGGCATTTTTGAAGAAGTCCAAGAAGCAGATAGCCAATATACTCTTTGCTATTCCTGAGGAAAAAGAAAATCCTTTGGATTTCCAACAAATAAATTTTACTTTGGTTATCATTGAAAGCTGTTAATATTTTTTACAAAAGCAAAAACAGACCAAATGAAATCAATGATGGTTGAGAAGATGAAAAAAAAGTCGGTTAATGGGCACAAATATACAGTTAGATAGAAGGAGTAAGTTTTAACGCTTGGTAGCAGAGTTGGAGGACTATAGTTAACAATGCATTGTATATTTTAAAATAATTTGAAGGGAGGACTTCTACTTTAGGCGATCATATTCTGGAGGTGATGGATAACTTAAATATCCTGACATGATAATTTTGCATTTTATTCCTGTAACAAAATATCACATATGCCTCATGAATATGTACAAATATCATGTGTCAATTTAAAAAACACTACCGATATTTTTTAAAAAAGATACATATCACCTTGAGATTCATTGTGTTTTACACAACATATTGAGAAACAGAAACTAGATTTAGACACAAATCTGTAAACTGACAGTTGTGTTTTTTATGTTTTTGATAACCTCCAGACATAGATTGTACTACAGTAGTCTCCCCTTATCTGCAGGGGATATGCTCCAAGACCCCAAGTGGATGCCTGAAACCACAGATATTACTGAACGCCATTACAGTCAATCAGCACGTTTCTGTTCATGCTAATGCCTTTTCCATATTTACTAAGCACTAATCATATACTGTGACAGTAACTTTCCAAGTCTGAGGTGCAACAGCAAAACTAGCACAATTTTTTTCCCTTCTCACAATTTGACAGACAATTCATTCTTACCTCCGATTTTAGCAATCTCAGCATGTGATTTTTTTTTTCTTTATTAAGTTGAGAACTTTCACCTTTTTATTCAAGAAAAACACTGCTTATCTTTGGCATGTCACAATTGCCAACATCACTACTTTCATGCTTTGGACCTATTACTAAGTAAAATAAGGATGATTTGAACACAAGCGTTGGGATACCAAGACAGTTGACCTGATGACTGAGATGGCTACTAAGTGACTAATGGGCAGGTCCATAATGCATACAGCATTATATGTATAATGCTGGACAGGGAGATCATTCACATCCCAGGCAGGATGGTGGGGGACAGTGCAAGATTTCATTACACTACTCATTACACCACTCAGAAGAGTGTACAATTAAAAACTTATGATTTGTTTATTTTTTGAAATTTTCATTTAATATTTTCAGATTGCAGTTGATCATGGGTAACTGAATCTGAGGAAAACTAAACTATGGATAAGGGGAGCCCACTGTTATTCATCTTTTCTATCATGCCTTGAAGATTTATTCATTCCCCAAAAATGTCATACTCTTGAGAAGGGCAGCCAGTTTCTCAGTAGCTATCCATTAACAAATTGAAATAGACTAATGGATTGGCAAGGTGATGTGCTAAGTATGCATTCCTTTAGGAATTCCAAGATCCCAACAACAGCCCTGAATCTATAGGAAACTGACCCATCATTGTGAGTTAAAATTTCAATATGACCACATGCCTGGAATGTTAATTCAGCAAAGATCAAGGCGGAACTTCATTTGCCATTTTCATGTAATTTTGTGAAGTATTAATTGCTGATTTCTGTATAATCTTTGCATACTCATGATAATAATGATAGCTATCCATCTCTGAAAAAGGCCGCTGTTTTCAAATATAACTTGCTACAATAATAACAGCTGCCCCTCTCATGAGGAAGTTTGCTGTATTATTTTATATTTTATGAGCAATGAAATGGCAGTATGAACCAATCCTTGACCTCTGACTTCAAGAAATATATGAACTGCTTCTCTTCTAGTTCCTTTGTTACTTT
Organism: Homo sapiens; assembly: GCF_000001405.40. NCBI lineage: Eukaryota > Metazoa > Chordata > Mammalia > Primates > Hominidae > Homo > Homo sapiens. Next base: position 69,450 of record NW_019805489.1, read on the forward strand.
GCATATTACCAAGCATTGGAACAAAGCAAGCATGGTTTTAATTTTCACCTGCCAAAACTGCTAAAATCAATCTTGCTGTATTCAATAAACAACTCACTGTGCATAGATGGGTAAATTTTATTAGTTGATGAATAGCAATGGAATCCTGCCGTTAAATCATAAAATAAAACCCATATATGTGACAAATATCTTTCAGTCCATGACCGTCTTCCTAGGTAACCATATATAGTATGAAAGATGAATTTTCTTATGACCTTATGCGTACAGGACAAAATACAATGATGTTGTAAGTCATGAGCTTCATACAAAGTAGTTCATTCTGAGTAAAGTGTTAGAAAATACTCCCAAGAGTAGGAGGCCATCTTTCAGTACTGATTTTAATTTAAAAACCAGATTAAAAATTAAAACCATATTAAAAATGCCAAGATTTTTAATATGATCAATATTTGATAAGTAATGTTGAATACATTTGTTATTGAGAGGTACATCACTAATATTTTATTAACTTCTTTCCTTCTGGATAATACATCCACGGTGTGAATTTCCACTGGGACCTACAGTTATTAGATCAAGTAGATTGAAGCACACATAACCAAATGGATTTTTTTTTTCCTTGCATTAAGTCCCAAAGCAACTGTCATCATGCACTAGAGACGCCAGAAATCTAGGTCTTTGGTTATACTTACTGACATGGTTTGGCTGTGTCCCCAACCAAATCTCATCTTGAATTGTAGTTCCCATAAACCCACGTGTTGTGGGAGGGACATGGTGGGAGGTAATTCAATCATGGGGATGGTTATGTCCATGCTGTTCTTGTGACTGAGTGAGTCCTCACAAGATCTAATGGTTTTATAAGGAGCTTCCCCCACCACCTTCACTCTGTGCTTCTCCTTGCTGCTGCCATGTGAAGAAGGACATGTTTGCTTCCCCTTCTGCCATTATTATAAGTTTCCTGAGGCCTCCCCAACCCTGCAGAACTGTGAGTCAATTAAACCTCTTTTCTTTATAAATTACCCAGTCTTGGATGTCTTTTTTAGCAGTGTGAGGACAGACGAATACACTTGCTTACTGAATTTGAGACCTATTTTACATTTAAAAATATATATTATAGTGCCTTGATACTTAGTGGCATTTTCGTATTATGGAGTCATTAACAGTGTGATTGCCGTTCCATGGAAACAACAACAACAACAACAACAACACCTATTTGTCTATATTGCCCACTTGAGAATTTAGTTTCAACCTCCTGTTAATGAGATGCTTTTATTGCCACAATTTTTTTAGTTGTTATTATTTTATACATTTTTAAAAAAATATGCTTCACAAATTTGCATGTCATCCTTTCACAGAGGCCATGCTAATCTTCTCTGTATCATTCCAATTATAGTACATGTGCTACCAAAGCAAGCAATTCCCACCATTTCTAAACAGTTCTAAATTTTTTTTTTGAGGTACGCAAGGGAGTGAAGTGGGGCACAGGTATAACAGAGGGATTTGCCCACAATCCATAGCCAAACATAGAGGGCACAATAAGGTCACAGCTTCATGGGGTGAATATTTATTTCTGAGCCCACTGAATTCCCCTAGGGACAGGAAGGCTGAGCAGCAGTGACATCCAGTTATAATTCTGTTATCTTGTTGAAAGCAGGTTCAGTGAGCTGGACAAGTCCCTTCTTATTCTCTAACAGCAACATTAAAACATGAAGCGAGTGTGATTTCTGGATAGAAAGATTCTCCTGAGAATTCTGTGGGTACACCGTGTTTTATTTGTTGTAATATATGCACTTCAAGTTTCTGGGTCAAATGCACACATAGCTTCATGTGGCTTATGTAAGTATCTTGGAAAACAGTTTACAACTTACTGTTTACAGTTTCATAGCCCTTGAGAGAAGTGATGCATTAATTTTCTGGTGAAGATTAGGGGCCTTTTTGCTTTATAGGGGAATTGGGCTAAGAGTTTCCCTAACCACCCAGGTTGTAATCCCTGCCATGTTATTAACACAGTAAAGCCAGTTTATTGTTTTAGTCTTATCTCTTGATTTACAAAATTGAAGTGTTGAATTGGATGTTCTTTAAGGTATTGTGCCCCCAAAACAAACAAAAAAAACTAATGAACAAACAAAACTATGACTTTTCTTGTTAAATATTTCAGTGAGAAAGTTTCTGTTCATTTGGAGTGAAGGGAAGTGTGTAACCCATCATGCTTGTTTAGCAGGGACATTGACAAAGCCAAGGATGATTTTTTTGTGCATGCAAGTTAGATTTCCTGGTGAAAGAACAAGAGAAAGACACTAATTAATTAGAGACACAGAAGGAAGTAAAAAGACAGCCCCAGACTTGACCCTCAGCAGGATTTGAAGCTGACATCCAGGAAACTTTCATTCTTAATTAGTGATGCTTCTGCTACTTTTTTTTTTTTTTTTTTTTTTCCATCCTTTGCAAGCACGGATTGCCCCGGTCCTTTAAAATCTTCTAATTCCCCTCCTCTGCTAATCTGTATCCACATGATGAAAGCACTGTATGGTTCTCATTGTATTGTTTTCAAACTCTGTTATGTGCTTTAGGGCTAAGTTACTCTTAGAGAGACCACTAAAAACAACTATAAGGAAGTTTTTGCAGAAATTTTTCTTAGGATATCTTTTCAGAAAAGGAACTGCTGAGTTGAACTACTGTAAATGACACTTAAAGGTATTGATAAATATTGTCAAACTAGCCTCCAGGAAGATTATACCCCTGGAGGAGAGTGCCTGTTTCCTGGAATTACATCGTTGTTTTATTTTAAACATTTCCACATGGGTTTCATTTTAATTTACATTTCTTTGATGACTAGCAAATAGAACATTTAAGTTTATTAGTCATTTTATTTATTATTGTATGAATACACTATTTATGTTACAGGATAGGGGTCCCGATCCAGACCCCAAGAGAGGGTTCTTGGATCTTGCGCAAGAAAGAATTAAGGGTGAGTCAACAGTGCAAAGCAAAAACAAGTTTATTAAGAAAGTAAAATGATGAAAGAACAGCTACTCCATAAACAGAGTAGAGCATTCTCGAAAGTAAGAGGAGGAATGTGTCCACCCTAGGTACAATTTTTTTTAACCTAGTTAAAAAAATAAAAAATAAAAAAAAGAGAATACTTTTTTTTAACCTAGGTACTTTCTTTTACCTAAGTTAAAAAGAAAAAGATCATGAGGAGATGTGCTCTGCTACAAGGGTTTGTGATAAAGGATTAATTTTCTTAATTACTATATTTTGCAAGAATTAATATTACTGACTTTAAAGCAAAATTAGGAATGCCTTTGTTCTCAAGTTATTGGGATATCAGGACACTCCCAAGTCTGGGTCTGTTTAGTAAACATCATCCATCTGTTCCCTTAACCTGAAGCATGTAGAGGCTAGGAATACCTAACTTTCCGGGAATGCAGCCCAGCAAGTCCCAGCCTCATTTGTGCCAGTTTATTAGGAAAATAAAGGAATGAAAGTATAGCTACTCCATAGACAGATCAGCCCTGTGGGCTGCTGGTTGACCATTTTTATGGTTATTTCTTGATGATATGCTAAACAAGGGGTGGATTATTCATGCCTCCCTTTTTAGACCATAAAGTGTAACTTCCTGATGTTGCCATGGCATTTGTAAACTGTCATGGTGCTGGCAGGAGCGTAGCAGTGAGGATGACCAGAGATCACTCTCATCACCATCTTGGTTTTGGTGGGTTTTGGCCGGCTACTTTACTGCAACCTGTTTTGTCAGCAAGGTCTTTATGACCTGTATCTTTTGCCGACCTCCTCTCTCACCCTGTGACTTAGAATGTTTTAGGAATTCTAAGTCTGGGAATGCAGCCCAGAAGGTCTCAGCCTTATTTTACCCGGCTCCTGTTGAAGATGCAGTTGCTCCAGTTCAAACACCTCTGACGTTTATGTCTTGCCCACTTTCCTTTTGGTGTATCTGTTCATTTTCCTATTTAATCCAACTCTTTATGGTAATGCTATAGCATAGATTCCAACATTTTATGTAATGAATCTCTGAAGTGAAGATATTAATTGATATGTTCCAGACATCAAACATGTTGAGAGCAAAGTTGATTTTTATTTGAAAGATAAGAGGTATGATTATTTTTGTAGTTTTGAACAAATGAAATATACCCTCATTCTCTATATGAAAAGGGACTGAACTGAGCAGTCAATAAATATCTGAAAGAGGGATACAGATGTGAATTCAGAAAAGAGAAAAAAAATCAATCTGCGTTATTCCCACAATATTCTTGGGCTATATTTCATGCTAGGATAATTTGTCCTGTTTCTCCTAAGTCACAGAGACAATGATTTTTAAGGTATTACTGTCAGTCTTTCCCAGGTAACAAGCACAGGATCAAGGGCTTCATCGGTACTGGCCTTGTGATCTCTTTTATGTTGCAGAAACTCCTGTGTAAAGCTCACAGGAAAAGTGAACACATTTAGCTTCCTCTAGAACCAGGACCATGTTTGTCTGTGTCCTTCTTTGAGGCCATTTCTTAATCTCTACTGAAAAGTGAAAGATAAATGGGAATAAAATAAGCTACATATTACAAGATCAGTAAAAAGAGACAAAACAATAAAAATAAGCACCTACATTGAAAGCACTGAGTCAAGCAAAATGAACTACAACAAAGCATTAAGGTGGGTTTGTCAGCTGGATTATTTATAACCCAAAACAATAAAACAAACCTAGGATATAAAGCTTAAAGTTCAATTCTTAAAATAGGTTTAAAGAAAGGGTTGCAGAGTATATATTTTATGTTGTACAATCAACCTTATGGTCTGGGTCAGTTAATAATGCCACTCTTCCCTACTGTAACTATCATAAATGTCATTCATCAATCCAGCATTATTTTCAACTGGGCCTAGACAAAGCCTTAGAATGTCTCCCAACAGAACTCTCCAAGCAGCTATTATCAATCAGGAAGTTGGTATTTGAATTAGCACGTATTACCATTTCAATGCTGGACTCATCTGCTGAAGGTATGTACAGTTTTATTAATTTAAAGATAGAAAAGCCAATCAGCCTTTATGCAGCAAGTTAATTCTTTCTCTAAAGTTAGCGGCTTTCTAGCAAAGGCTTCTTTCTCAGCTCTTGAATCTTCTTTAAGCCAGAGCTTTCCAACTGGAATACACACCAGTAGGTCAAAACAGGTACAGGTACATAGAAGTTATTGATTCCTCAGCCTTGAGAAGGCCAGGTGGGGTTGAAGATACCAGAAATCCTGGGCTGTTATTTACAGCCATAAACAGCCACATCTGTGTACTCCAGTGTGCAGATATTATTGTTTTCTATACATATTATGAAAAAGATGGAAAGTTTTGCTTTGAATTGTGGAACAATCCTGCCCTAGTCAGAGACATTTACTAGTACATGGGTGGTTTCTTTTAACTCTTACTCAAAATGTTAGAATTTTTCAAAATCATCACAATAAAAAAAAGTCAAAGGATTTATATTTTGAATGGAATGTGTGTATATTTATGTACATACAATCAAGTGTCACTTAAAGGCAGGGATATGTTCTGAGGTAATCCTTAGGCAATTTAGTCATTGTGTACCTATCAGAGAGTGTACTTACACAAACCCAGATTATATAGCCTAACACACACCAGGGCTATAGGTATAGCCTATTGCTCCTAGGCTACAAACCTGTACCTGTAAGACATGTTACTGTACTGAACATTACAGGAAATTGTAACACAGTGGGAAGTATTTGTGTGTCTAAACAGCTAAACACAGAAAATGTGCAATATGAGACCACCATCATATATGTGGTCTGCCATTGACCAAAACGTTTTTATGCAGTGCATGACTGTATTTATTATATGTATACCTATTTTTCAGTCTGAGACACAACTGATTTTACCTGGAGTGAAATACATCGCTATTTTTCGGTGAAGCTCCTTCCATGTAAGCATAAAAGTCCAGTAGACGATCATGAGTATTTAAGGAGCATTATTTGATAATGTAGGTTATTTTGGTGGCAGGAGATGTTAAAGCCTAGTTGAGATTAACTTCATGGAGTGACTTCCTAAGGCACTTATATCTTCTCTTTCTCATTCAAATCTATCTAACTTTCATCTCTCTAGACACTTATAATCATGGTACTAGATTGATATGAATTAATAGGTTGATGGAAAATATTTCTTAATAAATTTAAATTTTTCAGGTACAATTAATCTTTAATGACCAGGTATGTGTATTATGGGGCACTGAATGGGAACCAGTTTGAAAACATAAAACAAATTGTAATTTACACATTCAATACAAACAAAACTATAAAGTCAATAAAAAGCAAATTGACAGTTAATTTAATGTGACAGATGATTACTTTTAATAGAAAGCAATCACATTTAACATCACAAATATGAGCTGATTACCCCAGAGCAATTCTTTGGGCCAAGCAGACTGATGCTTCTTCTTGCCTCATAACTGGGTCTCCTTCAATCCTTTCTAAAATTGCTTTTAGAGTGATCATTGCAAATGATTCAGTTCTTTCAATGGCTCCCTACTGCTTACTATAATACACAAATATAAGTTAGTGAACAGAATCCTTTTTATCTGAGTCTTGCTTACCTCCAGCCTCATCTATTTTAATATAATCTATAATTATATAAACAGGTGTATATAATTTTTCCAGCTATACTATACTAAGTATTTGTAGTCTCCATAGATGTCATCCTGTTTCTCTCTTCAGAGCCTTTCCAACGTGCCATTCCCACTATCTATGAAGTTTATACCAGCTAATGGTCATTCCTTCAGAACTGGATTTTAGTATCTTCTGGGAAACCCTTTGTAATACACTCCCTCTCCTCCTCCAGCTCTGAAAAAATTGGCTCCCTCTCTGTGCCCACCACAACAGCCTATGCATTCCTTCTTTGACCAGACTTAGCACTATGCTGTAAATGATTGGTTGATTCTACTTGTCTGTGAGCTCTCTGAGAGAAGGGCAAGGTCATATTCACACCTCTTGCATTTTTAAATTCTACTTTGACACTTTTAAATTCTTCATAAATATTTTTGAAATGAACAAAACGAATGAACTCATGCTTCTGGAGTTACCGCGCATGCCAGTTTCTGGTTTGAGCTTTATTTTTTTGTTTGTTTTATTTTGTTTGGGGATGTGTGTGTGTCCTCAGAATGCTGAATGCGAGAAGGATAAGCAGAGGTTTGGTGTGAGTTACTTCCCTCAGAGGGCTTCCTGTGAGATATTTTTCACCTTCCTTTTCTTTTTTGCTTTGTTTTCACTCTTATTTTTGTGTCTATTCCCCAGCTCTCCCTCCTGTCTGAACTTTATTAGACCTTTCACAATTTCAGAGTCTTTTTTTATTTTTTGAAGCTGTGCAGTAGAGGTATACAGAAGTGAATTGTCCCTTGGAAGTAGATTAACCATTTGTTTTGTAGATGTCTAAGAGATGCTTTTATTTGGTTGCTACAAAATGTCAGATCAATATGGTGTGGATATTCATTTAGTCCTTTGAATGGGTACCAGGTGGATATGCCAACATAAAGCCAAATAACAGCATTAAAGCCTTGGTACTAAAATAGATAGCTCAGTAAAGGAATATCGTATATTTTTTTTCTGTTTTCCGCCCACTTTATTTTACTAGTCAATAGGCATTGTCTAAAATTCCAGAGTCATTCATATAGTTAAAAGGAAAATAATGACAAATTTGAGTTATTTTGACAATAATAAAGTAAGAAATGTCTACTCAAATCACAAACTTTGATATATTTATTTTTGCCTTATCTTTCATTAAGTTTGGTAGAGAAGAATAATTTTTAAGGAACTCATTAGACATCATTGACATTACTTAAGAAACATTGGCTGCCACAAAGATTTGGTTGTGCAGAATTTCTAAACTCGCACGGCATTAGAACTGAATCAGCATTAGATGCCACATCCTATGAGTTCATTAATATATAAACTTTATGTATTTGTTTATAAAACAAATATTTATAAAGTGTTAAACATGTTCACAGCTTTCTTCCAGGTCTTGGGAATAGTAGTATGAGAAAAGAGCCTATAGTTTTACAAAATACAGGCTCTCTCCAGCTTGTTTGTATGCATTTTATTATACATACTCAAAACATTTGGGGGACATAGATGGCATATATTAAAACATCTTGGTTTAGTTTCTGAGCCCCAAGCTGAATTATATAAAGCCACAATTTCTCACAGTTATCTATGATCCACTTTCTGGCAATATCTGAAGTAACACAATGTAGTGGAAACAGCAAGTACTTGCTTTGGAGCCAGAATGCCTGGATTCTGATCCTCATCAGTTCTGCCAGAAACTCATTGTGCAATCCTAGATAAATAGCATGACCTCCCAGGTCTTCAGGAAATAACATTAGATTTTCTTTAAATGTGCTTCTACCTATGATTTTCTGCCTACAGAATATAATAATTTGCTAATGAAAGTGCCCTATAATCACCAAATAACTGTTACCCATCTGTATTCCTGAACGTCGAATAGCCACAACTTCTGAAGGAAGATCAGTTGCAAAAGCCGTGTGAGTCTAAGTGTCCTCCAAACAAGAACATACATATCCAAAGCAATGCAATGTAGAGAGTCAGAGAAGGTATATGTTGACTGACATTACACATGATCTACTGGTAACTGTACATGTAACACAATAACTAGATTTAAATTCTTACTAAGTCGCATGAAACCTTTAATATGGAAATACTAGCAGTAGCTATGACACATAGAAAAATGTAAAGTCCTTTTTCCCTGCTTTTGTAAACTGCTGAGAATATCTATGGTTACAGTTCTAAATGGAATTTCATTAAAGCTGCATCTGAACCATGTACAAGTTGACCTCATATATCAAGGACCATCAGCACTTTACTACTATCCATGTGGTGAGATAAATTACTTTGGCAACACACATTTCTGGGAACATTATATTTACTGAGGCTAGCAATTAATCACTTGCAGTTGTATTTGAATGAAATATGTTTCCAGGAAAATATTTTAATTTTATTATCTTTCTTATAATTTCACTAGGCAAATTAGATGACTTGAAATAGAAATGGATTTTCACAAAAACTTATTACTTAATAGTACAATCTATACAATCACCTATATCCAACTTTATCCTGTGGGGCTTAATTCATTGTAACTCATGAATATATAGATTTTGATTCATTTTAAGCTGCACATGTCTATATTAGCAATAGAAGTAGTGTTCTTCAAGATTTAAAATGCAACTTTAAACATCTTTTAAACATAAAGTTAATTTGAAGATTTTGCTTTGATAATTACCTGCATTTAATTTATAATTTTATCTCTGTAAGTTATTTTTATAAGACCCTCTTATAATTCAACATAATAAATAATTATTGTGGTGGTGTTCAGGTAGATACATGATTCTAAATTGCCAAAGAAAGTGCCATGTATACTTTAGTAAGCTCATTTTGAGGAGGATATGTAACAATAATTTAACTCTTTTGAACATTAGTAAATATGCACAAACTTTTAATGTTACTGAGATGAACTTAAGGTTTATATACGATAATTTTTTTTCAAATATGAAATTTTCCATAAATTATTAATGTTATTTAAAAACTTTGCAGACTTTCTTTTGATAATTTCTTATGCATAATTAAATGTGTTAATATTTTCTTTCTAATATATTTTCTTTCAATATATTTGGCACACATTAAAATTTATCAATCCTGGTGACTTAATAATTTCTTTACACACATTTTGCTGGAGAAATAACAATGAACAATGAATGAAAAGAACGTTTCTTGAACACCTATGTTCCTGGCTGTCAGGCCTTGTGTTACATTGTTTGTGTGCATTGTCTCATTTAATCTGCCAATAATCCTATGAGGTTAAGTACTATGCTGTAATTAACTTCGTTTTAATATTTTCTTAGTGATTTTAAACATGAATACTGTGGTAAAAATTATTTCATTTTTTATTCTTGATTCTAGAGATTACTTGCATATTTCTTTTTTTATTCACATTTATTTATGTATGGAGCACCGGCTAAGGTCCAGGCAGTGCTAGAAGTGCGGGGAACATAGTAAGTGCTGATGATTTGGTAATAAATAGGACAGACAAGGCGCTTACCCTCATGGAGTTTATAGCCGGTGTTGCAGTACAGATACTAACACTTAAACAAATAATATCATAATTTCCGGTCATGATTACTACTAGGAAGAAAGTAAACCAAGGTAATAGCTGCAAAATGACAATGGAGTGAATGAGAAAGACGGTGATGTGAAATTAGGTCAGAGAGTTGGGCAGGAAGAAAATTATTCAGCAATTTGTAATTTTTAGCTTTAAACTTTGGATTTAATTTGTTAAAGACAATTATCCAAACTTGGGTTTAAATACAGCTACGTAACCATTGGGTAGAGTATCCTTATTTGAGTACTGTCACTCCTGACTAAGACACAACATTTTTAGAACTCTGTGAAGTTAGAGATTAATTTGGGGGAAACTGATAATGTGAAATGAATTTTCCTTCTATCCATTAAAAAGGTGGGACTGCCTAAGTGGCTGCTTAAATAACTTTAGTCTTGCAGTAGGTTTGAATAAGGTAAAATTTCTCATTACTGTTTATTTCAGCAAAGTATGTCAGTGTTAATATCATTATTATAAATATGTCTTTATTACCCTTTTTGAAAATGATATGGTTACATAAAGACATAATAGTGGTTACATAATACTACTTATTACATAAATGGTGGGACTGTACTCCATTTTCTATCCTGTATATATACCATCAAACCTTTCCTTGTGTGCCTCTTTGTCTTTTATTTTTGAAGTTTATTTCCTATTGCCTTTTGAGACTATTTTCCACTTGTTATCCCACCCACTTCCTTCACATTTTGTGCATTTTTTTTTCATTCTTTTGTTATGGCTTCCTGGTTCAGTTTTATTCAAATAAAAATCATAGATTTTTGCATTTTATTAAAAGTGTCGGCCGGGCGCTGTGGCTCACGCCTGTAATCCCAGCACTTTGGGAGGCTGAGGTGGGCGGATCATCAGAGATCAGGATTTCAAGACCAGCCTGGCTAACATGGTGAAACCCCGTCTCTACTAAAAATAGAAAAAAAATTAGCCAGGTGTAGTGGCATGCACATGTAATCCCAACTACTTGTGAGGCTGAGGCAGGAGAATCGCTTGAACCCAGGAGGCAGAGGTTGCAGTGAGCCAAGATCACACCACTGCACTCCAACCTGGGAGACAGAACGAGACTCCATCTGAAAAAAATAAAATAATAAAAGTGTCAGCTAGTTATCTGAAATTTTCTTCTGATTTCCATGATAAATCATTTTTTCTCTTATTTGCTTATTCTGAAACAAAGCTATATTATATGGTTGATAGGTGGTTGATGCCCAGTTGACATTCACATTCTTAGCACGTATCAGACATTCACAGAATGTGGCTGAGTTCATTTTAAAGAAGAATCTGCTTATATTCCATGTACTTAGTTTTAACATAATCTGATCTCAAGGAAAGCAAAGCACTCTATATGTTTTATATATACTTCTACATTACAAACCTCAATGTGTATTACCTTCATGATGTTTCCCTACTACTACCCAGGGAAAAATACATTTCTATAATGCAATGTGATTTACCCTTCCTTTCATTCACTCATTTTCTAGGAAATATTTTCTGCAAATAAATATAGAAAAAGAGATACTTAGCACTAGAGGGAGAAAGTGAGAAAGGCAGTCCACTGGCTTCGGACTGCAGTAGTCACAGACATGCAATTGAGGAATGGTTTCTGGATGCTATAGATTATATTTCTAAATCAGGATGCATGAAACTGGGTAAATCGGTTTGTTTTATTTTCTGCCAATAAGCTATAGTGAACCTCTAATTGATTTCACGATTAAGTTCCATCAGTCTTGTCGTTACAGCTTAGTAACAGGTTGTCTAACCTAGTTTTTAGTACTCTAATGGGAATCTTAAAAAGGTATATTAGAAACTTCTTATTATAAGATGATATTTTTGTAATGGTCTGCCAATAGTTTTAATTTACTTGGTGGTGATTTGGTCATTGAACATTGTTTTAATAAAATCTAATTTGTAACTTTTTCTCACAAAGACGAATACTTTATGAGTTCATTATGGAATCTTAAAAAGTCGATCTCATAGAAACAGAGTAAGAAGTGGTTAGCAGAAACAGGGGAAAGGGGAAGGAATGAGAAGAGGGAACATGTTGATCAAAGAGAACAAAATTTTATTTATAGGAGAGAACTCAGTTTTGGTGATCTATTGCTCTGCATGATGACTTCAGTTAATAGCAATGCATTGTATATTTCAAAATTGATAAAAGAGTAGATTTTTAATGTTCTCACTGGACAAAAAAAGTTAGTGAGGTGATGAATATGTTAATTAGCTTGATTTAATTCTTCTACAATGCACAACAAAAATCAAAACATTATTTTGTATCCCATAAATATATACAATTATTATTAGTGTATTAAACAGAAATTTAAAAATTTAAACATATATAAAAACTAACAAATATTTAATATCTCATAACCAGGATAGCATTCTTACTGCTTTGGAATGACCATTTTCTTTGACACTTGCCTTTGAAATAATAAAGAATCCAGTTTACACTTGGAGCACCTGATAAAATTTCAAAAGAATAAAGAAACTGAGATTGTATATAATGTTTCAGAATGAATACTGCGATGATGTGTTTTGAATAATCATAAAGACTGTGTTATGGTAAAATAGATTGGTCTTGTTTATTTTGAGGGGCATAAACATGTTATCATCTCTTTAATGACCTTGTATTGTCATTATCAAAATCCTAAAATGTGCTTCTATTCTTTTTTTTCTCTTATTTGAATGAATTACTGTTAAAGGACATTTTGTATTGGCAGTAAACAATCACATGCTGGAATAGGTAGTCAAATAGATGAAAAAGTTGAGAAAATTGAAGTGAATGGATTGCTGAGTTTTTAATAGAATCTTAGTACACTTATTCATAAACTATGACTAAGCCTCATTCATTTTCTTGGGTTTTATTTACAGTTATTTACACTATACCCACATATCTTTGTCCAACTCAACTTAATTTTCCATCTAGTTTATATTACATTTCCTACTTTAAAATGTATATAGCCACTATTGTATTTTCTTAAATGACTTTTTTACACATGGAGATTTTTCTTTTCCACATGAACTCTAGGTGTTTCCTTTTCTATGTATTCTGAATATCAACCTTATATGTTTTATTTTAAAAACATAATCTTATTAAACCATAAACTCTATAGTTGTGGAGACATGGAGAAATTTCTAAAAGTCATTAGAGATTCTCTTTTTTACTTGTTACTTTAAAAAAAAAGAAAGAAAATAAATATGTTAATTGAGCTAAGTGCCTACCTACTTGTGGCAAAAGTTGTCCAGGATGTCATTGATTTGTGATTGTATTCCATTTTTACTTCTAAAAATCTTTAGTCATCATTTTGAGTGATATTTATCAATAACTTATGATGAGTGGATCTTACCCATATTGTTGACTCACCTTGCCTGTGAAAATTCTATATGTATGTTAAATTTAAGTTCAGGTAGACCTTATTATAAATTACTTGAAATAATATATATAAGTATAAGATTACAAGAAATCTAGGTGTAATTTATGTTATTTAAACAAACAGAAGGAAAACATTTTTTTTACCAATCTCCCTCCCAAGAACTTACCAAATTATTTTAGATGACTTGTAAATTCATTAATTTAGGTAGTTCAACATTTTTCAGTTATTAAAAAAAGTAGATATGTATAGCATGTTAACTATTTTACTTTCAGAGCAATTTTTTCTTGTTTTAGACATATTTAATGATGTATAAACTTAGAGAAAGAACACTGACATAATTAGATTATGCATTTGTTAATATAACCTTTATCAGGAAAGTTCAAAATATTAGAGTAAAATCACAAAGTCCAAAGTTTTAAAAGTAAAATTCATCATTCAAAGGGAAGAATCAGGGGATATTGCTGAAATATGGAAGGTTAATGAAGTTAAAGAAGTAGATATTATTTAAAAGTAGAAAGACAAGTGACTAAATAACCAAACATAATTGTATAAGGATTAAGCTTTGGAAAGAGATAGGAAAGAATAGCCTAAATTAAAATCTCATTTTGTATATCAGGAAATAAATTTATATTGTCTAAATAATTCATAAATCTAGAAATAGTGCTATAAAAGTAATTACCAAAAGCACTAAATGTGGACATAGTTAAAGACAGTGCCTTTGGGAAATGGGCTTGGGGTCCAACAGGAAGAACGTGTAATTGATTACTTTTTATCATAAGCTCAACTGTAGTCTTCTTTTGAAACTATGTACATACACTATTTTAATAGAAACATTTCTTAAAAGTTGTTTATCTTTTGAAATGATCTCTTAAGTTTCATTTAAAAGATTCCAGATGGTTGAGTTGTAACCCACAGAGAAGCTCTGTATGAACACTAATTGATGTAGAACCAAGAACTCCAAAGAAAAATTCAGGAAACAGATCTTCTCTTACACTCACCTACTGATTTATTCCACAGATGTTTATGGAGGACTTACTCATGCCAGGCATTCTGTTAAAGCACTGGGAAACGTGAGCAAAAATACCCAACATCCTTGCTCTTACAGAGCTTCTAGTCTAGAGGAAAAAAAAATGGCCACTTAAATAATTTCACAAAAATGTTGAATTTTAACATATTTACATGATACAGTAAGCACATATAGCTGGTAGCCCAACCTAGACTTTTATGGGAAGTCAAAGTCAGGGACGACTCTCCTGAGAGAGTAATAAACAATTATCTGAGGCATAAGTATGCCTTAGCTTAGAGAACTCGGCAGGTGGTTCAGATTTACAGTGAGCGGCATAGGTTACGATGCTGTGAAAGAACAAACGTGAAAAAGTGGACAGACGCCCTCTTTTTTGCAAAGAGTAAAGGAGAGCAGGATGTAAGATAGAACTGAGGGTGAAGGTAATGGGATAGACATCACAATAAGAAGCCATTGAAATGTTATAGCGATCATATTTATGTTTCATAAAGTCCTTTTGGATGCGGTGTTATAGGACCATTAGACGGGCAAAAGAACAGATCTAGTGAGGGCAATGAAAGAGTGTGTCAATAAGCTCTGGACGAGAGTGATTATAGTCTTAGAATAGAGAGGTAGCAGTAAAGATTTAAACCACATGAGTGGAATCAACAGATAAGTATCAGGAAGGGGCAGCAGTGTTCTCTATTAAACTGTACAGAGGAGGTGGCCTATAATTTACTAGTTTCTGCATGCAAAAATAGGTGAATTGAAAGAACATTGCATTAAGAGGAACTGCAGGAAGTAGAGCAGCTTTGAGTTATGCTCTTAATTTACATTTGACACACAGTGTGATACCTGCAAAAATTCAGGAAGAGGGATTAAGTAGTATGTATGTTAGAAATACTGGTCTGATTTTCAGAGAAGAGTGCGGACTGGGGGTAAAAATTTGAGTCAACTCTATTGATGTGCGAATTGAAGGCCTGGGTGTGGAGGAATTGTTATGGGGGAAAAATGAAGTAAAATGTAATGAGAGCTTAAGACACAGAATTGGGAGACCTCCAACTTGTAATAAAATTGTATAAGGGAGGAGTTGAATAAGCAAACAAGAAGGAGAAATGCTTGTAATCATAGAGAGTGATTCATGTGAAGAAATTTCATTTTGTAACAAAGAAAAGGGATGGATGAACGGGGCAGAATATGACTGTGTCCATTTGAAATCCAGTCAGTCACAAGCTAAGATGTCCAAAATCAGAAACAAAAGTATTTTAATTTTGTCTGGTAATGAACTATTTTAAAAACAATTACGTTGTATCACTGACTAATTGGTCAATGTTTGTGTTCAACAATGGGAGATCAACTCATCAGAGCCACTGGGAGCTTAACTGTGCATTGGCTCTGTGAAGATTGCTTGCAAGATGCCAGAGCTTATTCTACAACTTCCAAGCAGAGGAAGGGCTAGAGTCAAATTATGAGATCACATAGCCAGAAATTCAAAAAGACTAGATAAATTCTGTAAACCCTGATCGAAGATAGCAGGCTGCTTCTAAATGCCCAAGGCTCTGCCCAAAGGGAGAACTTCTGTCTGAGTCAGAATCCTGATTCTGGCTAGCAGTCACTTGACAGTCTGAATTCAACATTGTTCTTGTATTTGAATTATAATCAACGTATTTTTATTCTAAGTTGACGTCTCAACAAGTGTGGGAACACCCTTTACCAATTCTTACAGTCTTTTCCCCCCTTTTTATGCTAAGGATGACACAAAAGATAGATTATGTATGTGCACGTGCACGCGTATAGTTTGTGTGTGTTTATATAATTTTGTTGTGTTGGAATTTACATCACTCTAAAGAAGCAAGCATTTAATGGATAAATGGATGTTTGGGCTTTTACAAAAATTGAACTTTACTGTAAAAATATTTTCAGTGTATGTTATATGATGCAGGAGGGAAAAAATTAGTATTCGGATAGCTATTTGCTAAAGAACAATTCAGTTAAGCTGAGTGGTACTCTTGCCTGTTATTATTAGGATGGGGGTTATCTCCTAGATATTAGTTTTTCTTTCCAAGAAATGAGCAGATTTACATATCTCATTGCTTGGCATTATCATTATGAAACATCAAAATACAAAAGAAAAAAATACCCAGATGGTGTTTTGAACATTCTCATTAACGAATCAGTTCCTTCAGTACATAAGGCTCAAATGGGTCTTATCTCAAAAATAAGTAAATAAAATAAGAGAAAAAAATTCTAAATTCTTGAAAAACATATGCATTTTTCTGTATCTTGTGTTAAATTTCAATAAACATCAGCCATTTCTGAAATTATCCATCTGATTATTTCAAGTATTGGGACATTTTGGGTCAGACTAATTTCTGGTATACTAAGGAATCAGATTATTTATTTAATTTATTTATTATTATTATTATTATTATTATTATTATTATTATTTTTGAGACGGAGTCTCCCTCTGTCTGTCGCCTAGGCTGGAGTGCAGTGGCGCAATCTGGGCTCACCTCAAGCTCCGCCTCCCGGGTTCATGCCATTCTCCTGCCTCAGCTTCCCACGCCCGGTTAATTTTTTTGTATTTTTAGTAGAGATGGGGTTTCACCGTGTTAGGCAGGATGGCCTCAATCTCCTGACCTCGTGATCTGCCCGCCTTGGCCTCCCAGCACTTTGGGAGGCTGAGGTGGGCAGATCTTGAGGTCAGGAGATGGAGAATATCCTGGCTAACACAGTGAAACCCAGGAGATGGAGAACATCCTGGCTAACATGGTGAAAGCCCGACTCCATTAAAACTACCAAAAATTAGGCCGAGCGCGGTGGCTCATGCCTGTAATCCCAGCCTTTTGGGAGGCCGAGGAGAGCGGATCACAAAGTCAAGAGATAGAGACCATCCTGGCTAACACGGTGAAACCCCATCTCTACTAAAAGTACAAAAAATTGGCCGGGCATGGTAGCGTCACCTGTAGGCCCAGCTACTCGGGAGGCTGAGGCAGGAGAATCACTTGAACCCAGGAGGTGGAGGTTGCAGTGAGCTGAGATTGCGCCAAAGCACTCCAGCCTGGGCGACAGAGCGAGACTCCATCAAAAAAAAAAAAAAAAATCCCAAACATGTGCTATATGGTAATGTTGAGGATATGAGCACTAACTGAAATAAAAGTTGTCATTTAGAAAATTACCTTGAGACAAAGGCAGCCTCCAGTTTCACTACCTGGACGTCATGGAACAGAGAGACTCATAGACCAAATTAAATTGCTCTGATCACATAGTTTTTAAATCGATTTAAAACATAGGGAGAAGCAAAGGAGAGAGAGATGGGATAGGTTAAAAGGTTTATTTTAATTAATAAAATAAAATAAAAATAAAAAATAAGGTGCAAGCATGTTGAAAAGACCAAAATACCTGAATTCTGGAGTATACTATTGTTGTTGTCCCCATTTAGAACTGTGGGTCTTCAGGCTTGAGAGTTGGGGCCTTTGCTGGGGAACCACCGTCTTCTACCCAGTGTTTCCTTGTCTTCTGTCCATATCACTATGTTTGTGTGTACTCTCTGCCATATCCATTTTTCCCCATTGGCTAAATGGCTGTAAGGCCTAGAGTTGTGGTTTCAAACAAAGGAGCCCATAGAGGGGGATTTACGGTAGCCTAATAACTTGTGTTTGCTTTGTGGGAAAGACACGGGAACAGTATGCCTGGCTCATAGCTATAGTTTGCCAATCAGCCTGCTGACCAGTCATAGATTTTATTTGTGTTTCTTTGAGAAAAAACGCAGGGAGCCAGAATCTTTGTCAATGATGAATAGTGAATTAAGGCTTTATGAATATTAGATGCTCATGTATTTTTAGTATATGAATATTTAGTGCACCGGTACCTTATGTGTGTTTAATTCCTCTTAAATATTTAGTATCTTTTGGTCCCTCTATTTTTTGATGTTTAATACAAATTTGGGCTACTTATAGACTACTGATCTATATACTTTTTACACCTTGAAATGTTTTGCTTTTGTTTTTCTGAACAACAAACTTATTCATCTCTTTCAATAATATTGAATATTCTCAAAAGCAAATGATTTTCGAAAACGTAAAGTCAAAAGTCTTCTCCTTATTATTATATGCTAAAAGAAAGGTTAAAATGTTAGTGCCAGTCTCAGTCAAGAGTATGTTATTCAAAAAGTGACTTTGAAATGTTTCATTTCAAAGTTCCTTCAACTCTGGTAACTAAGAGCCAATAGGTGCAGACATATCAAAAGAGCAAACATGAAAGTGGTCTTGATTTTAGTGTAGATCCAAGTCCAAATTGGTTAAGGTAAAGGATCTACAGAGTTACAAGATAAGAAAATTATGTGAGGTTATGCAGGAAAATGCTTACAGCTCACTTTGCAAAGACAAAAAGATATGAGAAGAAATTTAGCTGATTAAATATTGATGAGTTCTCCTTCTGGGACACTATGTAGAGTAAACTTGGAATAAATGATGAACATTACAACTGATCAAAAGAAAACACTTTTAAGTAGAAAAATTGTCTTACGGGATTATCACTGTAAAATAAACTTTTCTTCTTGACTTTTCCCTTTTGACTTTTCTGTCTATATATCTGAGTAAATATAAGCCTAATTGCCCTCATTTATATACACAGATAGTTCTAATAGTAAAATAAAAAGAAATAGCATACCACATACTGTGTGTGTGTTCATATAATTGTGTTGAAATTTATTTGGTTGGTGCAAAAGTAATTGTGGTTTTTGTCATTACTTTTGTGGCTCTAAATAAGCAACCATTTAATGGATGAATGGATGATGAGCTTTTAAAAAAAAATTGGACTTCATTGTAATATATTTTCCATGTATGTTATATGATGCAGGAGGGGAAAAATACTATTTGGATAGCTATTCACTAAAGAACAACTCGGTTAAGCTGCATGGTACTCTTGCTTGCTATCAGGATGGGGGTAATCTTTTAGATATTAGTTATTTTACTCTGTTACATTGCTAACAGGGTAAAACAGGTTAACCATAATTTATGTAGAAAATATAGAATGTGAGAAAATAAATAACGCAATGAGAAATACAAAGACTAAACAAACATTAAATAAAAAATACCAAACACATGCATAAGATACAAACTCATACAGTAATACTCAGCCTTGAAATAATCTTCTAAACTTATGAAAATAGCAAAACATAATACAAAAGAGAAAATCTCAACACTGTTATTGTAAAGTTGTTTTAAATTTTGTGTGCTAAATCATTGATATTAATATTATAAGTAACTGTAAGTCTTCTAGCAGGCTAGATATTAGGCAATATATAGCCAGAAACAACTTTTTTATACATTAAAAAAAAAAAAATTCAGATTGGGTGTGGTGGCTCACACCTGTAATTCCAGCAATTTGGGAAGCCAAAATGGGAGGATTGCTTGAGCCCAGGAATTTGAGAACAACCTGGTCAACATACTGCGAGACCTTGTCTCTATTTAAAAAAAAAAAAAAAAAAATTAGCAGGGCATGATGGTGCATACCTGTAGTTCCAGTTACCGAGAGGCTGAGATGGGAGGATCCCGTGAGCCTGGGATTTCAAGGCTGCAGTAAATCATAATCATGCTGCTGCACTCCAGTCTGGGCAACAGAGCAAGACCTCATCTTAAAATAAATAAATAAATAAATAAAATTTCAATCAGAAATATATTTCACAGAAACACATCAGTATATGAAAAAAGTTGCTAAAATTAATTCTTCCAATAGTTTTCTAAAATGGCAAGAACATTGAAACAAAAAACATTTAATGCTCTATTGTAATATTTACAGTGTTGTGTTGTGATTAAAAGTAAATTATAAAATAGTACAGAGTTATTTTTATAAAGGTAAGCACTAGTTTTTTAATTGGATATAGCAAAATTAGTTAATTTTTAGAGATAATTTGCATTCTGAAGACTGCTATTTGTTTTAATTGAATCACCACTTCCTTACTGGAATTAAAATTTATGTGAAACAGAACAGTTTTGTTTTAGTAACTTTGAATTGTGTTTATCATAACAGTAAATGATAACAGTTATAGGATTTAAGAAGTATTGTGCTAATGACAAGATCACTGATGTTAAGTAGAAAAAAGGCCTTTTTTACTTTGGAGAAGAAGTTACATTTACTACAATGCTGTAAAAGTAGGCTTCATAATTGTACACAGATAGCTATAAAATTCAAGAACAAAGTTTTTGTCACTAGCGTGTAAACTTTTAGCCCTTAAGGCTCTTTTCTACATTCAAATTGTTTGCATTACATAATTTTCTAATAATATGAGGTTTGCAGAAGTGAGAAAGTATTAACTGAGATGATTGCAAAAAAAAGTGTGAAAACTGCAATTCTATGATACGTGAATGTATGTGGATGATAATGTGTGAAAACAAATAAATATATGATGCTGAGTCACTTGAATTGTTGTTAAGTGACTATATATTATCTTTGAAATTTAAAATAATTAAAAAATGTAATATTGAGGGATAAATCAGTGTTAAGATGGACTTTATAGAGCACTAAGCAATTGTTTATGATATATTTAATAATTAAAATATTTATAAATTTGGTTACAATTGGGTTAAATATTAGTCAGAAAACAAGCAGCCAAAATACAGAGGAAGAGAAAAGAAAAAAAAAAAAAAAAGTCCAGCCAGGTGCCAAAACTGCAAAATTCACTGGTTTCTAAAATATTCAATAGATAATACTAACTTCTTTTTATGAGACAAGACAATGTAAACTATAATGCATCTACTCTAATTAATTACTCAGAAGCAGAAGAAAGTAAATAATTATTGAACTAATTCTCAAAGTGGACATAATTAGCACATTAATCGTCCATCATAAATTATTTAATTCAATAATAATCCTGGAAGAAAAATTAATATTATAGTCAGTAGTAAAGTGTTTTGCATTTAATACTCATCATCATAATGCTGTCAACTGGAATAAACGATGCCTTCAAATAATTTTTTAAAACTATTTTTGTTAAATTGTTAGGATATATTAATTTCTACTGAGTAGGATAATGAGTTTTAAAAAAAAACAATTCAGTAATTATCTCAGTTTTAGAATTTCTCTTAGACTTAAACCAATTAGCTCTCCACATCCCAACATAAGCTTTATCTCATTGGCACTGTAGTTTAAAAATTCTAACTAAAATACTGAAATAAGGAAGAGGAAACATATGTAAAATAAGATTATAATGAGTTCTTTACAAAGGCACTTCAGAGCTGTCTGACATTAAAAAATTAAATGTTTAGTGTGTAACACATATTTAGTTTTATCTTTTACCCAACATTCTGATATTTATCAATAAAAACCTATAAACACTGTGACGTGACAAAAATATTAAAAATACATTGAGTATTGAAAGCCAGCTATGGAAAAGTAGCTCCTTTCTTATGGGCTCCTGAGCCTTTTTATGAAGATCTGTTTAATGGATTGAGCTCCTTAGAACCTTGCTTGATTGACATTGGGAATGGTGTGGAGTTATGGTGAAAGCAAGCAAAATAAGCAGGACAGGTAAAGTAGGAGATGAGGAGAGATAGCTGGGAATTCTCCATTGGCTGGGTTTGGGAAGAGTTTGGGAAATCAAAAAAGGAGAGCTGAAGTATAGGAGAATGAGACCAGAAAAGAGAAAAAGAGAAAGGGGATATTAGGTATTTTTGAGGTTATGATTAAAATCTACTTTTTGTATTTTGGAAAGGATTTCGTAAAGATTACATTTGTTTCTGTCTGCTAAATAGCAGACTTCAAGTACATGGCCTCAAGGCAGGAGCAAGAAGCTTTTTAATGGGTAACACATACATGTTTTCTAGTTTGGGGCCTCTGCCAAATACTCAGCCAAATTTTAAAAATAAAGAAGTTTTCCACTTTTGTAAGGTTATCATCCAATGCATTATTGTTGGATTCAATGTAAGCTTCCTATGAGTAATCTGTGGTTGTATTCAATTTATAAAGTATATTAAATGTTCACATCTTTGATCAATGTTTCTAGAAGTAGGAACTTCATGAGATTGAATAGGAAGTATAATTTTTCCTTCTCTGAGCAATGCATCACATAAAATAAATATGTATAAAACCTGTAATGTAGCCTAGGTGGTTCACTTTCTCATTATCCGTGGAAGATGGCATGCCAGCCTTCATTGTGAATTTAGAAGTGATAGTTACATAATAGCCTAATTGGTATTGGTCGATGAAATATAGTGAAGTCAATGACAATAATGGTCAAAGGGGAGGGGGCAGATAATTGGAAAGCAAGAGGAGCACATATCACAGTAGGCTATTTTTCCACTTGGTTTTATATTGCTTTGAAAAAGAAGAGATTCTACAATAGTTCTGCTTCAGGCACTCAAATTAAATCTTTATAGTTTTAAAGTTTGTGTTGAGACTCAAAGACACTTGAATTTTGAACAGTCGAGAGCAACGGCAGGCAACCACCAGCTTGTCTGTTGCAGTTCACATGTATCAGATGTGATAAACCTTCCTGTTGAGTGATCATCACTTTTCTGTTTTCTTTTTCTTTTTTTTTTTTATGTTTTGGAGTCATAGATACACAGAATGGTTAAATAGTGTACTCTAGCTCACAGACCTGTCAAGTGTCAGAGCTGGGACCCAAACATGAGCAGTTTTGCTTCAGAGTGAATTCTCATAATCATTTTACATGCTGCCTCTGGGGAAAAATGTATTGGGGGAGGGGTCATTTCAAGTATCCTTCTCAGTTGCATATGACAAGGGTTTTTGAAATTCTTGTCCTGAAGCAGGTAGATAAATTGAATTAGGTTTAACCTGGATACAAGTCAGTATGATATAAATATTTCAATAATATACTTGTATGTCCTCTGTTTTATATTTCTCAAAATAATTTTAAAAATTATTATAAGCAAAAAATTATAGCAAAAATTATATAAAAAATTATTATAGCAAAAAATTATTATAAGCACAAAAGCCTATAAACAGATGAAATTATGAAGTGGTCTACTAGAAATCCTGCATTGGAAGATTTCTGGAGAAAATTATCCAACCATTTCTATCTTCCAGTATACTGCATATTATTTAGCAAATATACTATCATTAGGTAACATTCATTTTAATTCAAGTGTGTTCTCAGAGAGACCTGATAAAGATTAGGAAACAAAATAGTGCCATCGTATTTCCGTTTTGTTCCTCTGTGCCTTCTCTGGGTGCTTTTATTACTGCCCATTTTCCCATGATGACCTAGATATAAGTATTTAAGAAATTTCTGCTGAGTCTGGAATATAGAAAAAAAGTGAGAAGAGTGTTATATTGGGGAATGCAGTAGCTGGGGATGAACTATTTGACTATGAGGTGGCATTGCAGTATGCTTCATAGAAGAAGTGATATTTCCAGTGTCCAATTTTTTTAAGAAAAGAAAAATCAATAAAACAAGCAGTTATAGTAGAAGGTCCCAGACCCAATTAGACACAAGGACTACAAAGGCAAGGTTTATCTGAAGAATAAAAAATACTCTGAATTTTTTTAATGAAAGTTCAGGGATGGAGCAGACATCGTTGGCCTCAGTCTTCTCAGATGCAAAATATAGACATTGACCTAACCCAATAAATATTTTTCAACCAGGGCTGATCATCAGCATCACCCATCTGTAAATATACAGATGCCCGCAGTTAGATGATTTCTAAAATTTTGTATACCTTTACTTTCATGAAAAAAGAGAGAAATGTTTCTTTTCTGAAGTACTTGAATGATTCTTGTCTCTTCTGCATGTTTTAGCCTGATTACTATATAGTCCTGTTTAGATTGGCACTTTCATCGTCTATCTCTGCTGAGAGAAGAATTGGTTGGATGGTATCGTTTGCATATTTGAACTTAAATTCTTCTACACCTGAAGGGTCACAGAATAAGATGACACATTTTTGAATGATTACAACTTTGTTTTTCTATAAAATGGTTCAGTATTTCAGAGTTGAGCATACTCGTTAAAACAAGGTAAGGTGATAGACCTACAGTTTAGGTCAACATTTATTTCAATTTGGAGTTTCCTTTGGAACATACAGCCAGTGAATTCCAAATTTGAAAACTTTTTTCTGTTAATAGCCCAGCATATAACAAAGCTAATAAACAAAAAATTTAAAAAGCCTTTCTTGAAAAGATAATTGTTTAAAAAAGTAACTCCATACCAATCCAAGTTCTAATGACCATATTGGAAAAGCATTATAAAGTTGAACATCTCCTGTTTCTCAAACAGCTCATTAAGTGGTTGGATTATACAATCTCTTAAAATTCCTTTAGATTTTATTATTACACAGTTATTTATTTGATGAAGGAATTTAAAAACAGGTCAGGGGTTGTATCTAACTGGCAATAAAACCAGTGAAAGACCTTTGTTAAATTATCAAATATTACCATTCTTTCCTAGTATATATGTTTGCCTATCTGCATCCACATAAAAAAGTGATTCAATTTTTTTCTCATAATATCTGAGTAGAAATATTCTGATCATACTTAGAGGTTAGAAGTATTTAATTAGAAGTTATAATATATTTCTGGAACGGATATAGAATATATCGTGCTTTTTTTCTTGATTGTTGCATTTAGTTATTCTCTAAGTTTTCTTTGCATAATAAAGAAATTATAAAATATCAAGAATGATTTCTTAAATCATTCTGTATATATATTGTTACTGCTTGAGACCATATACAGTTCAGACACAGGCATCACTCCCACATAAGAGCCATCTCCTAGGGTGGATAAAGTGGTTATAAATATGAAATACCAACTTATAGATGCTCTACCTTTCAAATGGTTCTCGTAGCATTGTTCACACAGCAGCAGTACCAGCAGCATTACCTAGGAACTTAATCAAAATGTGATTTCTCAGTCTCCACTCCAGACCTTGTGAATCGTAATTCTGGCAGTGGTGTCTGGAAATTTGTATTTTAATATGTCCTCAAGGTCACTGTGATGCACACTAAAGTTCAAGAACCGCTGGTCATTTTCACCTATCTACCTTCTTATGCTTAGCTATAATGTGAGAATATAATGTCTGATTGTCCCCTGAATTAATCCTTGGATTCCTGTTTTATTTTATTTGAAAGAATTTTGTTGTGTTACAGAGGAGTACACAGAAGGGCAAACAAATTAAAATACAGATTGCAAGCAAACATTCAAAGTAACTTTGGGATAGCCATACTTTTTTGTTACAGCCTCATTCATTCATTGATTTACTTATTTGCAAATAAATGCAAGTTAGGATCATGATAAATACTATGAAAAAAACTAAAGCAGAGTAAGGGAATAAAGGATGTGCCTGGGAGGGTGTTATATATGCTACTTTTGTTGCATTATTTAGGAGGCCTTTGATAGAGAAGATAACATTAAGAAAGACAACTGAAGGAAATGAATGTGTGATCCACAGACATTTGAAGCAAAGTATAGGCCTCTGACAGCAAATACAAATACCCTGGTGAAGGAGTTTGTCTGCTGTGATTGAAGAATAGCAAAATATCAAATAGGCTAGGAGAAAGTGAAACAGTGGTAGGAAATAAGGCCAGAGCAGGAAGGACACACCCCATCATAGGCTATATTGAGGAGCCTGGATTTTACTTTTTATGTCTTTGAATCCCATTAGGACTCTGAAGTATTCGTGTAGATGATTTTTTAAATTCTTCCTAACCCTAAAATATTTAAAGACTTCAATTTATTTTGAGTATGCCAGCAAAATAGGAATGAATAAAAAGGCAGCAAATCATGCGTTGACCTCATGGAGTGATTTGGACAAAAGAAAAAATTCAACATATTTTGTAAACAAGTCCTTCCTAAGATATAATAGGGAAGAGAATGAGGAGAGTTGGAAAAGTTTATTAATTGAGGACCAAACCTTAAACTTGTTCATGTCCCAGAAATGCATGAAATAGATAATCTTAAAGCATATCTAAGATGGATTAAACTACTACAGTGTCTTTCCACTCTATACAATATTCCTGTCCTTTAGTTAATTACCTTTTTCAAGTATCAAAATAACCTTACATAAAGGCTGTCTCTTGTTGGAGAAATATAATTAAAAACAAAATCCTCCGCCAACCTAGAAATCTTCTCCACAAAGGTAGAAGAGAAAAAAAAAATCTTTTATTTGTTGAATAAGCATTAAACCAGAACGTGATGTGCATCACAGGCAATCTGCTAAAGAGACTGCAGAGACAAAAAATAACTTTTAGCTTTTTATAAAGCTGAGCAGATACAACACATTGCATACATTTTCTCAAGATAAACAAAAACTAGTCATCAGGTAAGAGGACTTGACAGCACCATTGAACACATAGTTCATTCTAAATTCACCTGGTAATTCGGTTGGCCACCTGTTTTTGCTAATTGCCTTTATCCAAAGGAAAAATACGTTTCTCATAACTTTATGACAGGAGATAGGTTTGCAGCTTGGGGCCAGGCACCAACTAAACTATAGGCTCCTAGCTTGTCACAGAAATTAGAAGATAGGGGGCACTATCTTCCTTGATGATTGCATTTCAAAGAGATGGCTCCCAGGTCCTTAAGAAAAAAAAAAATATATATATATATATATATATATTTTTTTTTTTTCCTGAGTTGTAGAACTGGAAAGAGGTTTATTTAGCTTTTAAAAAGATTTGCATGCATTTCAAAGGGAAAGAGAAGAATTCTAAGGTAAATGTTCTAAGAAAGGGAGGGGGGGGTCTCTTCTTTTTTTGCACAAAGAAGAATTTATTTTTCTTTTTTTTTTCTTTTTTTTTTTTCGGGCTCAAACCGTTTAATTTCAGAGTCCATTTTTTTTTGTTATTATACTCTAAGTTTTAGGGTACAAGTGCACAACGTGCAGATTTGTTACATATGTATTCATGTGCCATGTTGGTGTGCTGCACCCATTAACTCGTCATTTAACATTAGGTATATCTCCTAATGCTATCCCTCCCCCCTCCCCCCATCCCACAACAGGCCCCGGTGTGTGATGTTCCCCTTCCTGTGTCCATGTGTTCTCATTGTTCAATTCCCACCTATGAGCGAGAACATGCGGTATTTGGTTTTTTGTCCTTGCGATAGTTTACTGAGAATGATGGTTTCCAGCTTCATCCATGTCCCTACAAAGGACATGAACTCATCATTTTTTATGGCAACATAGTATTCCATGGTGTGTATGTGCCACATTTTCTAATCCAGTCTATCATTGTTGGACATTTGGGTTGGTTCCAAGTCTTTGCTATTGTGAATAGTGCCACAATAAATATGCATGTGCATGTGTCTTTACAGCAGCATGATTTATAATCCTTTGGGTATACACCCAGTAATGGGATTGGTGGGTCAAATGGTATTTCTAGTTCTAGATCCCTGAGGAATCACCACACTGACTTCCACAATGGTTGAACTAGTTTACAGTCCCACCAACAGTGTAAAAATGTTCCTATTTGTCCACATCCTCTCCAGCACCTGTTGTTTCCTGAGTTTTTAATGATAGCCTTTCTAACTGGTGTGAGATGGCATCTCATTGTGGTTTTGATTTGCATTTCTCTGACGGCCAGTGATGATGAGCATTTTTTCATGTGCCTTTTGGCTGCATAAATGTCTTCTTTTGAGAAGTGTCTGTTCATATCCTTCGCCCACTTGTTGATGGGGTTGTTTGATTTTTTTCTTGTAAATTTGTTTGAGTTCATTGTAGATTCTGGATATTAGCCCTTTGTCAGATGCAAAAATTTTGTCCCATTCTGTAGGTTGCCTGTTCACTCTAATGGTAGTTTCTTTTGCTGTGCAGAAGCTCTTTAGCTTAATTAGATCCCATTTGTCAATTTTGGCTTTTGTTGTCATTGTTTTTGGTGTTTTAGACATGAAGTCCTTGCCTGTGCCTATGTCCTGAATGGTATTGCCTAGGTTTTCTTCTAGGGTTTTTATGGTTTTAGGTCTAACATGTAAGTCTTTAATCCATCTTGAATTAATTTTTGTATAAGGTGTAAGGAAGGGATCCAGTTTCAGCTTTCTACATATGGCTAGCCAGTTTTCCCAGCACCATTTATTAAATAGAGAATCCTTTCCCCATTTCTTGTTTTTGTCAGGTTTGTCAAAGATCATATAGTTCATATAGTTGTAGATATGCAGCATTATTTCTGAGGGCTCTGTTCTGTTCTATATCTGTTCTATATCATTGGTCTATATCTCTGTTTTGGTACCAGTACCATGGTGTTTTTGTTACTGTAGCCTTGTAGGATGGTTTGAAGTCAGGTAGCGTGATGCCTCCGGCTTTGTTCTTTTGGGAATTTATTTTTCTTATTTTTAATTTTTATGTGCCCTCATAGTCTTAATTGCAGAACAGTGTAGAAAGGCCAAGCACTGCCACATAAATATCTGGGTGGCATATAATAACACCATATTCCTTCACTTATGATTTAAGAGAAAGCTTGCAATTTTAAATAGACACCTGAGGTAAATAATTCTTCTGCAACCTGGAATTTGGAGACTCTTACGTACTATACAGCCAATACATGGTGGTGAATTCAACTACTGTAGGGAGGTGAGGATAAAGAAAACTGTTTAAATTCAAGAAATATTTAGAAAGTAAAATCTATTGAACTTGGAGATTGGTGGGATATTAAGTATGAGGGAAAGTCACAGATCAAATGATGATATGGAATTTTCTGCCTTAGACTTCTGCTAAGAGCATTGTGGAACCATTCACAAATACGGTATCAGTAGAGGAGTAGAGGAGAAGCATGGGGAGAAGTGAAGCAGGAAAATAAGCTCAAATATGTAACGTGAGGTTCTGTAGGACATACAAATAGAGGTATATGTGTAAAAGTGATCTCCTGTAAATCCTATATGCTCAAGATGCTCTATTTTAATAGGAAATTTTGTTAACCTTATGCCCTTTCTACTGATCCTGGCTCCTCACTCCTCCTGCTACCATCAAGCAGCATTGCTTTCTGAAGTTATAAAATACAATTAAAAATGAAACACTTTATTCATCATGAAAATACAATATATTTCTATTAATGGAAAATAATAGGTTTACCCAGGACAAACATCTGCCATAAATTTAGATGTATTTTTTTTAATACTATAGCTGAGGTAAACATGAACACTAATCTCATTGGTCATTAAGGGGATTGGAGTCTGTGGCCTCTGGTTACCATTTCTGTTTGTATCTATAAGATAAGAGAGTAAAAGAATTTAGATAGTATTTGGTAAAATTACGTCATGTAACAAAGTGTGACTTCTATTTTGTAAAGAGTAATAACATTTTCCACTGTTTCCTAGATAATTTTATCCTACATTGAAAACAAAAGAAAGACCTAGGATCATCTGTGTTGTGGCTAAATATGTGGAGATACTCAAAGTACTATATTTGTTAGAATATAAATATATTTAAGTAATCCTCTAATGTATCCCCTTGTTTTTCAGCTGAGGAAATAAGAGTTCTAGGTGGTGATAAATACTGAGAAAGATATAATTGATAAAAAGTACTTGGGGGTTGACAACCTCAGATTTTTATTTTGTAGAGTACAAGTAATCATGGAGTCTGTCAGAGAGAACTGAAATGCTACTTCTGATATTCAGTGGCCAGGTGAAAAATATTGTGGATCAGCAATGACTTATGGCCGGGTGCAGTGGCTCATGCCTGTAATCCCAGCACTTTGGGAGGCCAAGGCGGGCGGATCACTTAAGGTCAAGAGTTCGAGACCAGTCTGGCCAGCGTATTGAAACCTGTCTCTACTAAAAATACAAAAATTCGCTGGACGTGGTGGCAGGTGCCTCTAATCCCAGCTACTTGGGAGGCCGAGGCAGGAGAATCACTTGAACCCAGGAGGTGGAGTTTGCAGTGAGCCACAATTTGGCCACTGCACTCCTGCCTGAGCGACAGAGTGAGACTCTATCTCAAAACAAAACAAAGCAAAACAAAAATGACTTACGTTGTATCATTGTTATGTATTTATAAGTAAGGTCCACTTAAAGGCAAGGTTGTTTATGAATTCCTTTTTCTCATGTCCTTTCTATTTCTATATAGAATCAATGCCACACACTCACATACCAGACTATAAGTGAATATGACTTAATGTGTCTGCAAGGGTATGCACAGGTATGTAGTGTTAACAGTATTTATGGCAATTCAACGTTTGAATCTCAGTTGCCACTGCAAAGTAATCCAACTCTTGCTATGATAAAACCATATTCCAACCTTATCCTTTCTCATATGCAAAGTTCAGTATCCAAAAATTCTAATATAATAAACATGTATTTATTATTTTTGCCGCCAAACAGCATTTTTGTACTCAACTTCACAGCTTTATCTCGTTTGCTATTTTAAAAATATAGGATTAGCTGATCAGCAGCTGCCTATTTCTAACGGCAGCTATGCAGCTCGTAGCTGATAATTATGGTGTCAGAGAGAGTGCTGTATTTGTAGGATGCACAATTCCATTCTTCACTTTGTGATGACCGGAAACAGAATGTGCTGACTAAGCAACCTGAGCAACCTCATGATGACTGTTCACATACGTAATGAGTTTCTGTAGGTAATCATTTTTGAAAGATTTTGCTAGACTAATTTTAACTCTGGTAGATACTTCAGAGCAAAAGACTTCACTTCTGGTAGCCTAAGGCTTATGACTCAACAAAAAGTGTGACCGGTTAGGTTATTTCTTGAATATATGCTGTTCTTTAGTTACTTTTTAGGACTTAGGACTCAGAAAGAATCAAACTACTGAATCAACCTTGAAAACCCTCTGAAAGCCTGTTTTTAACAATTTACAACAGAAGAAAGGAATAGATGAAAGAATCAGAATATTTCTAGTAGATTTGGGGGGTAGTTTCTCATATTGCATATTGCAAAGGCATTTGTACTTCCAGCAATTAAGCAGCTTAAATCCCTACACTTATGGAAATAGAACATGAAAAAAGTTCAAAACATTTAAATGAATATATTTTTCTACATTCTTTCTGAAACAATTATACAATTATTAAATGATTCACGTTATATACAGTAATAATTGCTGATCAAAGGCAGATGCATATTTCACATATATGTTAAAAATTTAGCTAAGAATATTATACAACATTTTGCCAAATTTTCTGGATAACACAAATAAGATTTTACAACAATGGCAGCTAATAATTTAGTTGGAATTCATAACTTGAAATGTTTTTGTTTCTCTCTGAATAGCCATCATCAAATGTAAATTTCATTCTCTTAAAAATATTACATTTCTTGTTTTCTAGACTAGATGACTGACACTTCATTGGCCTTTTCCAATAGGCATATTTTTAAAATTTGCATATTTTTATACTTCTCCTCTAAGGTAGGAATACAATAAAGTAATTCAATTTACTTTCATCCATACCCAAATGTTGCTTAAGGTTCTTCATGCTGCTGGAATCATACCCTTGTAACATATTATTTAAATTCTTGTGGATTGGAAGTTGTAGAAACGTTGACATATAATGCCTGTTTCTTTTGCATATTAACTGTTCATCTGTGTTAATACAGAACATTTCTTTTTTAATGTAATCTTCACCTTTTTTTGAAACCATGTACTCAATTAAGAACATAAATGGCACTAATCTAAATCATAAAGATCACTGTTTCATCTTTACAGCTGTGTCATCATTCCCCAGATTTAGATATTGATCATTTCTAGCAACCCCCAAATGTTCAAACTTGTTTTTGTATCTTATATTTATAAAAAAACTACCTGAGTACTTGATGGCATACAGCTTGACTTCTGTACCTTGACTTCTGTACAGTAGTGTTCACTACTGTACCTTTAACAGATAGCTAGAAAATGGGAAGTACTCAATAAGTTTTTTTGAAGAAAACGAAACTCCTTTGGTACATAATGCTGAAATGAAGGAATTGTTTACTGACTGTAATATATTTCTCAAAGATTTCAGACTTCATTCCACTTTATAACAAAATAGTCACCGAATCACCTACTCCTGTTTGTTGTCCAGCAGACAGGACATTTTTTCAGCTTAGGTGAGAAATCTGAGTGGCTAGTTGGAGGATGAGGTTGAGAAGTTCAGCCCAGGGTGACCTAAGCATGTGGAGTGTGTGGAGAATTTTCCTGGCACTCTCAATCTAGAAGTTTACTAGACTCCTGCTTCTGTCTCAATTCCTGCATCTTTTCAATCTGTCTTCTTCATTCTGGCTCCTAAGTCTCAATTCTTTCCATTTTTTTCTATCTCACTTGTCTCCACCATGAGCAAAGCCAACTTTAATTCTCACTGGGACAACTATAGCTGCCTCCTAACTCATCTCATTGCATCCTCTTTTAAAGCTTCCAATCCATTCTCTGATATATCATAAACAAGCTTTCAAAACCCTAAATCTGATCATGCCATCTGTGTAAAACTTGTAGTGTTTGCTCTTGTTGATTTTTAAGATTATATAAATGATAGCACACTATGTATATCTATTT
The DNA here is from genome assembly GCF_000001405.40 of Homo sapiens. Taxonomy (NCBI): domain Eukaryota; kingdom Metazoa; phylum Chordata; class Mammalia; order Primates; family Hominidae; genus Homo; species Homo sapiens. The sequence goes on from NW_019805489.1 coordinate 102,413, forward strand.
TTATCTGGCTTGTTCCTTACTCAGCATGTTTTAGAACCTAACAGTTTTGATTGCTTGTGGTTACATATTAAAATACAGAGTATGAAGTAAAAGGGCTTAAGAAACCAAATGAATGATATTGGTTTTTTCTGGAGAGGGATGGAGGGAGGGCAGTAGTTCTGCAGGGAGTAAACAAGACTCTAACTTTATCTGTATTGTGTTGTTTTAGAATAAAAGTATATATTAAAATGTTAACATAAATTCTGTTAATTCTGGACTATAGTAATATATATATGTACACACACACACACACACACACACACACACACACATATATATACATATTCCTTCTTTATGCATTTCTGTATTTTTTTAATTTCTCAATTTTTCAGATACGCCCTGGGGAGAGCAGGAAAACCTAACTGATTACCTTGCTCTTAAAGACAAGATATGTTTCATGCTATAAATGCTGTATATGAATTCTTTGACTTTCTTTTGCACCACTCCAGTCATATGACCTCTTTTGTTTCCTCTGGTACACTATACTGTTTCTTAATTCAAGGCCTTTACATATGTAGTTTCCTTTGCTTAGAAGGTTTCTGGAGGATAGGAATATGTGTCCTATCCTATAGTGCTAACGAGAGGAAAAATCAGGTGCAGCCACTTTTGAGTACAATTCATTGGCATATATAAAAATTTAAAATTTGCATATTTTCTGACCCCAAATCCATTTTTCCATAGCAGCCTTATGGAAACCTTCGCACATATGCAAGTTGATGTACATGCAACAAAATTCATGGAGGTTTTTATTACAATAGCAAAATTTAGATTCGTCTAAGTATATTAGAATACTATTAGAATTATGGAATACTATGCAACATCCACAAAGAATAATAAAAGAATAACATCTGCAAACTTAAATAAAGAGGTCTTTAAGCCTTCCTTACAGAGTGAAAAAGAAATGTCACAGGGTAATATGTATGAAAATATTTAAGTAAAAGAAAGTATAATAATAACATTATACAATTATTTTAAATTTTTCTATGCATTAAAATAATATGAAATTTAGGAGACACTATATTGGTGAGAGTGCCTCTTGGTAGTACAGGGAAACAAAATGTGGGGCATGGCCAAAATGGTCTTTAGCTTAACTTCAATGTTCTTGTTTTTATAATAAGAACAGCTTTATGTATTTTACTTAGATAATTAAAAATTAATAAAATTCCCTGCCATCCTCCAAAGAGAAACAGTGATTATTATTCTGTGGATCCTTTCATCTTTAATATTCTGATTTTATATTCTTTGGCCGTTAAATTATGCATTGAGAACTACCATTCTAAATTCTACCATTTTATAGTAATTAACCTGCATATTTTATAAAAATTATAAAGTTCTTCTTTAAGTTATATACGCATATGTGTATACATACATATACATATATACATGATTGTTAACCTATATATGTGTGTTAATTTGGAAACTTGAAAGCAATGAAGATTTAAAGATTCTCTATGGCATTATTTTGAAATATACCCTAATTGTAAGTATTCAGTACACAACTTTGGGATTCCAATCTTATTATTAAAGGGAATATTTCATCTTTTTGTTGGCATTTTCTTTCATATTATTAACTAAATTATATAACTCTAGTTTGTCTTCCAGCTAAAATCAGTAGGATGGGCTGATGTTATCTTCATATTTACATCTTACTTACATCTCTGTTATCCAGAGGCAGATTCACTGAATAAGTCTAACTTTGTGTCTCTACACGTTATTATTTCTTCTCTCAGTTTTTCCTGCCTCAATAAATTGCTAAATATCTGAGAGTAGCACAGAAGTCTATCTATAAATGTTTATTCTCACACTATATCTAAAAAGTCTGGACATTGTTTATTGATAACTATAATGCAGATTTAGACTATTGAGTCTTTATATAATGCTATGTCATTAGTTTGACATTAGTTAATGTTTTATAATTTCCTGTTGCTTATGGATAACCACTTAATTTTAATATCAGCCTTAGATCAGTATATAGGTGATATAGGTATAATGCTGAATCTTTTAAATCTAGCATCTCATTGATATTTTTATTGAAACTTGAGATAATTTTGAAATCTTTGAAAAGTTCAAATAAGTCCTGAATGCCTTCAGAAAATAGTTGATGTCTTTTGTACTGAAAAATGGATTCAACTTTAACAGCACACTTTCTAAAAATAGCCATCTTGCTTTCATATGATTAATATTTTCTTCGAAGCAACCTTGCAAATGTGTCACTTCTTTTGTTTCATTTCACGGCAAACATACTGTGAGAAAGTGAGCAAAGCCTGTCCTATGATCTGTTTGATTTGTGTATCTCTGTACACTTCACGAGTTGGGCATACTGCAGAAATGTCAATTTTCTTTCCTCATGGGAACCTCAAAAGAATTAAAAAAGCAGTAGCAGGACAATATGCAGTATCAGAAGGAGCAATAGAGATTTTTTGTTTGTTTGTTTGTTTGTTTGTTTAGTTCTATTGGACAGTTTATGGATAGTATTTGTCACTGGCGTAATGTGACTCATTTATATTGTACCTATTCTTCTGTGGAGCTAAAGGCACTTTATAAGCATTCTCATTCATCCTCAAGCTTTGCTATGAGCTAAGTATTAGGCAGCTTTTATTCTCACTTTATGGCCTGGGAAACTCCAGTTTAAGGAATGTCGGCGTGCAGGCATTTGCAAAGCGTTCCAAAAACAGCCAATGGGATTCACAGTAACGTGTGGACTATGACCAAGCAGTGAAAGTCAAAAGTTCTTTGTATGCAGAAGTGTTCTGTGTGAACAGGTCAGGATATTTTACTTTATTTATAGGCTTTATAGTAATACTTGTCTGATGAAGCCAAATACTAAATATAATTATTTAAAATATTCTGACTCTTCTTTCCCTTCAGGCAAGTCTTCCTACTGAATCCGTGTGATTAATAGGACTTTTATTCTTATACTCATCCAGGACTGAAACCTTAATTGCCTTCTCTCTTAATTACCTCATTGCCACTACTCTGTTCAGTGGGTTGCCAAGTTGTGACCATTCTCCTTTCCCAGACTTTTCACATGGATCTTTACCTTTCTGTGTCGAGACATCCTAATTCATGCAGCTATTACTTCTTGTTGAGAAAAAAAAATAGCTTTTAACAGTAATGACATCAGAATTTTAATTTTGAAAGCTAAAAGAAGTAGACTCTGATCTCACCTGCATAGCTTACCAGCCATATGACTCTTAGCATTACATTATTTCTGAGCTTTAGAGTTATTTCTATCACAAGAAGATAACAATAACTAGTTTGAAAAGTTGGACCCTCATATATAAAGTGTAAAAATGGAATGAGACAATATATGCCAAGTATCAAGCTCTGCACCTGGTACAAATGGGATCTATTTTTACTGTTTTCCTTGTGAATACAATACATTGTGAAACAGAATTTTTCCAGTTCTCTTCCTTCTGCATATCATTCTCAAATCAAAACTTCTAAAATCCCCTTTGATGGTACTAATTATCTTCTTAAAACTCCATAAAAATCTCCCAGTACTTACTCAGTTTTCTTAATTTAATATATAAAACCCACCATAATAAAGACTCTATAATTTTAGTCTTAATCAACACCATATGTAGTCATCTCCGGTTAACCTTGGCTCCTTGCCATTCCCTTTTCACAGCCTTATTTTCCTCCCACAGCTCATTTAATCATGTTGATTCTTTTGCCTGGAATCAGCTCCCCTACAGTCATTTTCTGTAGAGTTCGAAACATATATGGAAAAACCCTGTCAAAGCCAGGCTCATTCTATGCCAGATGTAGCTAATGAGAAGAGTTCTATTAATTGTTTTTTAGGGCTCTAGCCACTACTTTAAAAGCACTTCTTATTTTCCCATGAAGAGACAAAAATCTTGCTCAATGGAGCCGGACTTTGACATGCTGACCACTCAGCATTCATGGGAATGTGTTCTGATAGCTATTCATCAGCAACTTACTTTTATTGTTTCCTCTGACTGTATCACTGCTCTTTACAGGTACCTGTTCTCTTTCATCTGGTGTTCCCAGTCTCTTCAGGCCTGCTGAAGCATCTTTGCTGGTTCATTTCACATTTCCTGGTCCAAGACCTGGGATTTTCCGGCTACTTTATCTCTTTCATTCATTAAATAGTTGCAGTCATGAAGCTGTATGTTTGCATTTTCCAGTCGTCTCCCAGCTCTTCTGGTTTGCTCCCTGTTTCCATCCCAAGCCACAAATATACAATCAAATAGAGCTGCCAGACAGGAACCTGTTCTTGCTCTGGAATAACTTCTTGGACTCTTTTTCTTTTCCAGTAACATCCCACTCATTTCCTACCTCATCTAAGAAACATTCACAGTGTTGACTAAGAATGACACAAAACATTCTTTAAATGTAGCACTGGCGTAATATAACATCATTGGGTTGTGAAGAAGATTAAATGAAGGAGCTGAAAAAGAACATTTTGAGCAATGTGAATAATCTAGACTTTTGTTCAAGCTCCATTATCATGGAAATGCTTTTAAAAGATGACTGTGCATAGGGCTATTTGAAGTCCTGCACACGGGAACTAACAAAGATACCATTCCTATCCCTTAAGAACACCCTAGCTTATTAACAGGACCATTAGCGCTATACTAAGCACAGCCATGTCTCTAACTGTGCCACTATGGCCTTCGCTGTGACTTCAAAGAAAACTCATTACTAAGTAAAATAACCTTTTGATACACTGAAAAATATTACCTTATAAGAAAGTAGGCAAAGCATTACCTTAGACTTTTATCCCTAGCCTTTTTTTTTCTCTTTTGGATGTGAATTTGGGTTCCATTTCATAAAGTACTTCGAAGAAATGTACATCCAAAACAACTTACCAAATTACATTCACCACATTATAGAACTTTTATGTAAGAAAATTCTCATATATATAAATTCAGAGGAAGAATTAATAGAATATTTCTGACTGGAGTTCTCTGTAGAGACACTTTTCAATGATGAAATGATGAATCTGTGTCTCATTAACCAAGGGAATTTTTCCCATGGCAAGTGTTTTAGAATACCAATATTTTTTCTTCCAAGTGTATCTTCTCTCACTATATACCATCACTACAGCAAGAAACGAGTGGTAATCAGGTCACAGTTCTACATGTGACTAAGAGCAAAAATTAATTTTAATAATATTGTAAGAAACCAGGAAGGGAATATATTGAAATCTTTTACACTATCCATTTCAAACATGAGGGGCATTTCTGTAATAATAGTAAGACATTCACCTCAAATTTAGATGTATGCATGTAACTACAAAGAGCCTCTTTCAACATGAAAATGGAAAGATTTCTATTAAATTAATGTCAAGAAAATGCTGTATATATGATGCGTTTAAGAACTCAGAAGATGTGGAAAACTATCCCAGAGTCACTTCCTAATTAGAGGTGAAGCAAAGGCCAGATACTGGTCTCCGAACCCCAGGCCAGTCTTCTTTTCTTGTGTCAATATTTCCACGTCAAAAACAGGAAACTGCAAAGATCTGAGAAGTACTTCATATATGCTAGCTCATTTATTCTAGCAACATCTATATCAGGGAAGCAGGGGTTAATTATTTTCCATTTTTATTATCTAAAAAATAAGTAGATCTGGAAATAAAGTACTGAGCTTCTGTCTGTTCATTTAATCAGTCTCATAAAATAATGTGTGCTTATGATCTGGTATGAAGAATTAATGGTTGCATACTTTTATAACAACAACAAGAACAAAACACATTCATAGTTTATTTGCTATCTGTTAAAAATGTAAACTAGTCTTTTTTCAAGGCTAGAAATTTTGCAAATCATTCCAATGTTTATACCCTTCAAGTAAGAGATGGAAAGCTTCTCAGGGGAATGCCTCTGAAGCAGTTTACTTAGCTTATATTACATGTAATGTGCAGATGGCCAATTATTCCAGTTATGAATCTAGACTACTCTCCTCAAAGTAAAGAACAAACTAGATATTTTATCTGTCTCTTAGTTTGTTTTTCTTATGATATAGTTTATGGTTGTTTCCAAATGTTCATGTTTTTAGAATGCTTTAGGGGATAAAATAGTCTTGGAGTAGACAAATGAGGAATACCAAAGAATAGAAATGTTTAGAATTATGTGGAGTAGGGAATTAATTATCATATATACAATTTTTTCTCTGAAATAGATTTAAAAAATATTTATCAGTATCTAAATATTACCACTGCTGCTATAAATCTTAATTTTCACTGAAAATGACAAATTTATTAATATAAACTTAGCAAGATAAAACCCTTTACCAGAGAAAGTCTTGTTTCTTGGGTAGAAAGTTCAGGTTACAAAATGTCTTTAAAGAACACGTTAATGACCATCATCCACTTGAAAATACAGGATTGTTCTTTGTTTCGATGTGACTATATCAATATGTACTAAAGCAATAGAAACCATTTAAAGTAAGTTTGAAAATATATTCTCATAATTCTGTAAATATAATCAATTCAATTATAGGACAGACTAGATTTCAACTAACATATAATTAAGTACCATGCTTATGTCTTGTATAATGGCCAAAATCTAGTTTAACACCTGCTTAACTACACATTAATCAAAACATTTTAACATAATAATAAAAATTATCCTTTAATTGACTGTCAAGTTTAGCACAAACTCCAAAACTGCATAGCCAAAATTTTATACATATTTAAGCATATTTGTTGGAGGGAAGAGAATGATGGTAACTCATATATTATAGTCCTTTGTCCCCAAATAATTGTACCTAACCAATATAAATCTTGAGTTTATATGTCTAAACATAAAAGAAAAATATTTTTAATCATGGGGAAAGTTTTCTAACCTTTTTTGAGCCTGTTTCCTACTGATGATCCGTACCTATGGATAAGCTAATTGGAAAGGAAGACCCAAATTAATATTAACAAAGACTTTACCTGTGTAGTACTTTTTTTTTTTTTTATACTTTAAGTTTTAGGGTACATGTGCACATTGTGCAGGTTAGTTACATATGTATACATGTGCCATGCTGGTGCCCTGCACCCACTAACTCGTCATCTAGCATTAGGTATATCTCCCAATGCTATCCCTCCCCCCTCCCCCCACCCCACCACAGTCCCCAGAGTGTGATATTCCCCTTCCTGTGTCCATGTGATCTCATTGTTCAATTCCCACCTATGAGTGAGAATATGCGGTGTTTGGTTTTTTGATCTTGCGATAGTTTACTGAGAATGATGATTTCCAATTTCATCCATGTCCCTACAAAGGACATGAACTCATCATTTTTTATGGCTGCATAGTATTCCATGGTGTATATGTGCCACATTTTCTTAATCCAGTCTATCATTGTTGGACATTTGGGTTGGTTCCAAGTCTTTGCTATTGTGAATAATGCCGCAATAAACATACGTGTGCATGCGTCTTTATAGCAGCATGATTTATGGTCTTTTGGGTATATACCCACTAATGGGATGGCTGGGTCAAATGGTATTTCTAGTTCTAGATCCCTGAGGAATCGCCACACTGACTTCCACAATGGTTGAACTAGTTTACAGTCCCATCAACAGTGTAAAAGTGTTCCTATTTCTCCACATCCTCTCCAGCACCTGTTGTTTCCTGACTTTTTAATGATTGCCATTCTAACTGGTGTGAGATGGTATCTTATAGTGGTTTTGATTTGCATTTCTCTGATGGCCAGTGATGATGAGCATTTTTTCATGTGTGTTTTGGCTGCATAAATGTCTTCTTTTGAGAAGTGTCTGTTCATGTCCTTCGCCCACTTTTTGATGGGGTTGTTTGTTTTTTCTTGTAAATTTGTTTGAGTTCATTGTAGATTCTGGATATTAGCCCTTTGTCAGATGAGTAGGTTGCGAAAATTTTCTCCCATTTTGTAGGTTGCCTGTTCACTCTGATGGTAGTTTCTTTTGCTGTGCAGAAGCTCTTTAGTTTAATTAGATCCCATTTGTCAATTTTGGCTTTTGTTGCCATTGCTTTTGGTGTTTTGGACATGAAGTCCTTGCCCATGCCTATGTCCTGAATGGTAATGCCTAGGTTTTCTTCTAGGGTTTTTATGGTTTTAGGTCTAACGTTTAAATCTTTAATCCATCTTGAATTGATTTTTGTATAAGGTGTAAGGAAGGGATCCAGTTTCAGCTTCCTACATATGGCTAGCCAGTTTTCCCAGCACCATTTATTAAATAGGGAATCCTTTCCCCATTGCTTGTTTTTCTCAGGTTTGTCAAAGATCAGATAGTTGTAGGTATGTGGCGTTATTTCTGAGTGTATATCTAGAAAACCCCATTGTCTCAGCCCAAAATCTCCTTAAGCTGATAAGCAACTTCAGCAAAGTCTCAGGATACAAAATCAATGTACAAAAATCACAAGCATTCTTATACACCAACAACAGACAAACAGAGAGCCAAATCATGAGTGAACTCCCATTCACAATTGCTTCCAAGAGAATAAAATACCTAGGAATCCAACTTACAAGGGATGTGAAGGACCTCTTCAAGGAGAACTACAAACCACTGCTCAAGGAAATAAAAGAGGATACAAACAAATGGAAGAACATTCCATGCTCATGGGTAGGAAGAATCAATATCGTGAAAATGGCCATACTGCCCAAGGTAATTTACAGATTCAATGCCATCCCCATCAAGCTACCAATGACTTTCTTCACAGAATTGGAAAAAACTACTTTAAAGTTCATATGGAACCAAAAAGGAGCCCGCATTGCCAAGTCAATCCTAAGCCAAAAGAACAAAGCTGGAGGCATCACACTACCTGACTTCAAACTATACTACAAGGCTACAGTAACCAAAACAGCATGGTACTGGTACCAAAACAGAGATATAGATCAATGTGTAGTACTTTTTAAAAAGTAAAATTATACTCTGCATAATCTATATATTCTTTTAGTATCAGAATGCATATTTTGCTTTACAAATGGGAATATTGCTTTCCACTCCCTTTAATGTAAATATAAATATAACTGTTGTTATGACACATTAGTTAAGTATTAAAGCATTATGATATTTACTAGGGAGCATAGCAAGATGTTTTTGCTTAGGGGTGGACCAATGAAATGAGAAGATGTGAACATCTATGTCTTTATTTTTACAATTTCGTGGTTTCAAATTTTATATCGTGAATCATGAATTTTAGGCTTACAATTAGACAAAACAAAACTATTCATTTAAACTTCAGTAATTAATTCATCAGAAAATTGTCACTGATCCCCTTCCTTTTATTCTGAGAATAATGCATAGCACAAAGCATTTTTAAAGTACGTTTCCATTTTAAATAATAATCTAAACAATACTTTGCTGACGTTGACTAGGCTTGATAGAAAATGGTAATATTTATAACAGTGGGCTGTAAGATACTGAAATAATAAAGGATCAGCTGTATTCACAAGGACAACAAAATGACTAACCAATTTAGTGTACTGGTCATTTCAGAAAAATAATTGTAAATTTAGTGAGCTAAAATAAAAATGAAAAAACATTTGTGCCAGTTATTTAATGGTCTGATTTCTGTCAAAGTGGCAGCCCTCTGGAGAAAGTCAAATAAAATATTCCAGGATAACATCACTGGTATCAGTTTGTTCAATTGATGTTTGGGTCATTTTCATAAAAGTGCAGCAGAAAATGTGTTTTAAAATCTCAGTTTTTTTCAGCTCTGATTGTTTGGTTCTCTGGTAAGTCCACAGTATTAATACTTTTAGTTTGTCAGTCTTTTATTATAATAAATTATAATAGTTAAAAACCAAGAAATGAAAAATGTAAGTCAAGTCACTTAGCTATTGTAATATTTAATCATGGCTGAAATAAAGTGTTATAAATGCAATTTTTATCCTTGCACCACCAAGTTTATTTTTGAGTAAAAGACAAAAACAAAACCAAGTGCTCTCTGACCATCTGATTATTCATTTATTTATGTATTTATGTATTTATTTTTATTTTGATAGGTTTTGGGGGAACGGGTGGTGTTTGGTTATATGAATAAGTCCTTTAGTGGTGATTTCTGAGATTTTGGTATACCCATCACCCAAGCAGTGTACATTGTACCCAATGTGTAGTCTTTTATCCCTCACCCCCTCCCATCCTTTCCCTCAAGTCCCCAAAGTCCGCTGTATGATCCTTATGCCTTTGTGTCCTCATAGCTTCGCTACTACTTATGAGTGAGAACAGATGATGTTTGGTTTTCCATTCCTAAGTCACTTAACTTAGAATAATGATCTCCAATTCCATCCCGGTTGCTGCAAATGCCATTATTGTGTTCCTTTCATTGTTGAGTAGTATTCCGTGGTATACACATACCATATTTCCTCATTGATTGATGGGCATTTGGGCTGGTTCCTTATTTTTGCAGTTGTGAATTGTGTGGCTATAAACATGCATGTGCAAGTATTTTTTTTTTTATAATTACTTATTTTCCTCTGGGTGGATACTCAGGAGTGGGGTTGCTGGATAAAATGGTAGATATATTTTTAGTTCTTTAAGGAATCTCCATACTGTTTTCCATAGTGGTTGTACTAGTTTACATTCCCACCAACAGCGTACAAGGGTTCCCTTTTCACCACATCCATGCCAACATCTATTTTTTTTTAATTTTTTGATTATGGCCATTCTTGCAGAAGCCAGGTGGCATCGTATTGTGGTTTTGGTTTGCAGTTCCATTATCATTAGTGATGTTGAGCATTTTTTCATGTTTATTGGCCGTTTGTATATCTTCTTGTGAAAAATGTTTTTTCATATTGTTAGCCTACTTTTTGATGGGATTGTTTGTGTTTTTCTTGTGTTTCTTGTGTTTGTGGTTTTTTTTTCTTTTTTTTCTTTTTTTGATGATTTGTTTGAGTTCCTTGTAGATTCTGGATATTCGTACTTTGTTAGATCTATAGATTGCAAAGATTTTCTCCCACTTGGTGGGTTGTCTGTTCACTCTGCTGATTGTTTCTTTTGCTGTACGGAAGCATTTTAGTTTAATTAAGTTCTATCTATTTATCTTTGTTTTTGTTACATTTGCTTTTGGGTTCTAGGTCATGAAGTCTTTGCCTAAGCCAGTGTCTAGAAGGGTTTTTTCCCAACGTTATCTTCTAGAATTTTTATGGTTTCAGGACTTAGATTTAATTTGGTTCGTCTTGAGTTGATTTTTGTATAAGATGAGAGATGAGAACCCAGTTTTGTTATTCTACATGTGGCTTGCCACTTACCCCAGCACCATTTGTTGAATACGGTGCCCTTCCCCACTTTTCGTTTTTGTTTTCTTTGTTGAAGATCAGTTGACTGTAAGTATTTGGCTTTATTTCTGGGTTCTCTATTCTGTTCCATTGATCTATATGTCTGTCTTAATACCAGTATCATGCTGTTTTGGTGACTATGGCCTTATAGCATAGTTTGAAGTCAGGTAAGGTAATGCCTCCAGATTTGTTCTTTTTGCTCAGTCTTGCTTTGGCTATGCAGGCTCTTTTTGGTTCCATATGAATTTTAGAATTTTTTTTTCTAGTTCTGTTAAGAATGATGGTGGTATTTTGATCGAAATTACATTGAATTTGTAAATTGTTTTTGGCAGTATGATCATTTTCACAATATTGATTCTACCCATCCATGATCATAGGATGTGTTTCCATTTGTTTGTGTCATCGATGATTTCTTTCAGTAGTGTTTTGTAGATTTTCTTGTAGAGGTCTTTCACTTCCTTGGTTAAGTATATTCCTAAGTATTTAATTTGTTTCGCAGCTATTGTAAAGGGGGTTGAGTTCTTGATTCGATTCTCAGCTTGGTTGCTGTTGGTGTATAGCAGGGCTACTGATTTGTGTACATTTATTTTTTAATCCTGAAACTTTGCTGAATTCATTTACCCATTCTATGAGATTTTTGGATGAGTCTTTAGGGTCTCCTACTTATATGATCATGTCATCAGCAAAGGGCGACAGTTGGCTTCCTTTTTAACAGTTTGGATGTCCTTTATTTCTTTCTCTTGTCTGATTGCTCTGGCTAGGACTTCCTCTATGTCCATTTCAAATTTGTTATTTAGAAATAGCTTATAAAGAGACATGTTAATCATTTTGAAGGAGACTGAGAACTGTTGATTTGTGGTTTACTGATATAGTTAATTTGGGGGAGGGTGAGCAAATACAGTTTTTTTTCTTTTCATTTTTCTTTTTATGTATTAGTCATTTTATAAACTATATAAATTACACTATAAAAAATATACCATTGGCTCTCCATATCCAGGTGTTTCACATCCATGGATTCAACTAACTACAGATTGAAAGTATTTGGGGAAAAAAAAATCCCACAAAGTTCCAAAAAGCAAAACTTGAATTTTCTCCGTGATGAGTACTATGTTGAATTCATGTGAATTAAATGATATGTAGGCATTGTATTAGGTATTATAAGTAATTTAGAAATGCTTTAAAGTATATAAGAAAATGTGGATAGGTTATATGAAAATACTAGGCCAGTTTATTTAAGGGACTCGAGCATATGCAGAATTTGGTATCCACAAGGGCTCCCAGAACCGATTGCTGGCAGGTACCAAGGGATGACTACGTAATGATTTACGCCAGTGCTGATCTAATGTGCATACAAATCACCTGGGGATCTTGATAGACTATAGATTCTGATTCAGAAGACCTGGGGTGGGACCTGGGATTCTGCACTCCTAGTAAGTCCTAGTTCATGCAGATGCTGCTTGTCTGAGGACTACACATTGAATAGGAAGGATCTGTACAACATTGAGTGAGTAGCAAGGATCTCATGTTCACACACACACACACACACACACACACACACACACGAGGTGCACAGGGTTGAGTTGTGTATACTCCTAAATTCTGAAGTTGTGTTATTCTTCTCATTCACCATCATCATTAAAACACACCAGGCCCCTCTTTTATTTAACCAGCACATTTTTATCTTATCTAACCTCTCAGTGCTTTCATCTCAGCATGTGAGATTTCTCATCTCTGAAGGTTTATCTTCCCTGATGCTGTTTGGCTAATTGGCACTTGAATACACTGACTTTTCTTTATTTTTATTTTTATTTTTTTGAGATGGAGTCTCGCTCTTTTGCCCAGATTAGAGTGCAGTGGTGCAATCTCAGCTCACTGCAACTTCCGCCTCCCAGATTCAAGCGATTGTCCTGCCTCAGCCTCCTCCTGAGTAGCTGGGACTACAGGCGCATGCCACCATGCCCAGCTAATTTTTGTAATTTCAGTAGAGATGGGGTTTCACCATGTTGGCCAGGCTGTTCTCGATCTCCTGACCTCAGGTGATCCACCCTCCTCGACCTCTCAAAGTGCTTGGATTACAGGTGTGAGCCACCACGCCTGGCCAACACTGACTTTTCAATTAGGTTTAAAAGTATCCCATCTTGTCACACATATAAAGTATATATATATATACTGGTTACTAACAGAGCATATTTTCTTTACACAGCCAACCAGATGAGATTGAAGTGGGCATCAACAGTTTGAAAAAGCGTGAAATAGAATTAAGGATGTACAATTAGAACACAACTTACTTATTTTAATGCTAATTTCTTCTAAATTTCACCCACAGTAACTTTGGCTCTATGGCTCTGAACTAATATACTATTTTTATTTCAATAGTGAAGACACTTTGGTGTCACCTTGGTAGAGATGACAATAGTATCGTAGTGAAATTATTTATTTGTAACATTTCAAACAGTGAGTCAATGATGGAGTCAGGCTTAGGACTTTGTTTATCCAATTTTCTCATTATACTATGCACATGTAGCATTGAATCAGGGATTGAATTATTGACGTAATGGGTCTGTTTGAGTCTTTATCTGGATTACAAAGAGTGCATAACATGAACAGAGAATTAGCTAGCTACTAAAATAAAAGTTGGTCCCCCTCAGTCTTTATGAAGCATAAACAAGGTACAGAGTATGATATAAATGCTGCAAGCTAAAAGTTAAAGTGCTAAAATGTAGTGTCGCAGTCTTTTTTGTATGGTATCCTTTCTTTCGAGGCACATAATCCATTTAATTTTCATCTCATATCTAATGGATTCTTATAGTTCATAAATACGCTTTAAAATATCACTGAATAAAAATAGTACATGTGTTTAGCTTTGTTCAAAACCTCTTAATAATGTAAGAAGATAAAACTCTTCTCTCAGCTCTTCTTCAATAGACATAGGTTTGTTTTAAAAATAACTTCTGTCTATAATTTAATCTTAGTGTCTTGTAAAGTCCTGCTTTTAGTATCTGCTCTCAGAAGTGAACTGTGTGTCAAATTTCCATTAAGCTGAAGGTAAAAAATTAATGAGGCACTTACTTTAGATATTTCAAAACTAATGCAAGTCTATCAGTCATGCAGCACAAAAAAATCAAAGATTTGGGTATGTTCAATTATGGTTTAGGGTTCACTCATATTTAACATTTAAATGCATTGCTTCATAAGCTTAATAGAGCATTCTAGAGAAAAATGGAATGCAGTTATTGATTTTTTATTAACATAAATATATCTTAAAGATGATTTTATTTATTTAAAGACTTTTTATCTACAAAACTTAATTTTAGGGCAAGGATAATCAGCGAATTGATAGGGATAGACGGGTTTTGAAAGTTTATTTAATATGTCTGCTGGGGGAGAGTATTAGTTAGCCAGGGTGAAAGCATAACTATATAGCAAGCATAGAATTATAATTTATTCTTCAATTGTACACCAGCTCAATTTTGGCAGGACTCAGAAAACCATTAAGACATAGGCATTAAGATTATTTTTCAAACAATTGTTGATTCTTTTTTCTACTATTAATTATTGAACTCCCGTTATGTACCTGACAAGGTGCCAGGCATTGTGTATCATACAATGATATAAGTGACTTGGTCCTTGCTTTCAAGAATTTATAGTTCAGAGGGAACAAACAGTGATTTTACATAGTGATAATGTTAACTGAAAATAGCAAGCATTGCAAAAAAAAGGTGCAGATATAGCACACAGAGCTGAGGTTGCCAGAGAAAGCTTCACGTAGAAGATGACTTGTAAGTTGGGCTTTGAAGGAACTGAGTACTTTAGATGCATGTGATGCATGAGAAAAACAAGTGAAGTAAGAGGAATGGCTTAAGCAAAAACATGGGGGACGTGGCTCATGGAGTATGTAAGGGTATAGCTTAAGATTTTGCTTAAGATGTATGAAGAAAACTGATAGGAAGTAATATTGAAGTATAAGGTTTGGGATCATGAAGGGCTTTGAATGGCAAGCTAAAGAGTTTGGTGTTTGAACTGGGGAGAGATACAATCATACAGCATCTTAAGAAGTTTCCGCAATCATGAAAACTTCGAAATGATAGACAGCACATTGTGCATCAATATTATTTCATTATCTCATGCACATTAAAAGCTCCAAAGGTAATGGCTGAGAGAGAAAACACATACTGGGAAAACCAGATGGCTATCCCAGCGTTTGTACAGACATTGTCTATGCTTTGAAACATGAATCAATTTGTCCTCAAGTGCAGCCTGGAGCAGTAGGAGACTTGAGGCTCATCACTTTTGGCTGAGAGCAGCCTCCTATGGTCTGAAAATCCCCTTTGGTTTACCTCAGTAGGTTGTACAACTATTAGCATTCTTCTACATAAATTATGCAGGGCCTGGTACCTTGGCATGCCACCTGTGCAGTCTCACAGAGTCCCCTCTCCAAAGGGCCCCACACTTGATTTAATGCTCTCCTATTGCCATATGGAAATTCTTCATACTTTTTAAACAAGAGGTCCCACATTGTCATTTCACTGTGGGTCCTGCAAATTATATAGCCACTTGTGGTTCCATGAATATGAAAACTGTTGGGAAATAATGACCTACGCTGTGGTCCGAATGCACTGTTATCTATATAAGGGAGCAATGAAATTATGAGGCCAGCACTGCTCTTATATAACAAAATGGATTCTAAGCTTAAATCTTTATTATTTTTTCTTCAAAGCCATGACTTCCACGGCTGCCATAGGCCAAACCAAATATAATATTTTAGCCTTGTGGTCTCCCAGATGATAAATTAAGGAAACACTCGTGTAACATATTTTCTTATTTATAATCTACCTCCTCCTGTAGCCTGGATACCAGTATCATCAAGCTCTGCGCCCTCTGAAGTCCCGTCAATTAAATTCTGAGAAAAACCGTTAGCACTTATTTTCCCTAGTAAAAGTTCTGAAAAATATAGCACTGCATTTGAAAACATCACAGGCTGCCTGATAGAGTCATTCTGTTGGGTATTTCCTTTTCTGAGTCAGTAAAAATATATAAACTGAATAAGTATTCGTTATTTCCTTAAGCATAGTTTGTTCTCTCCATTATCTCTATTCTATTCGTGTACTTTTTTGTACTTGTGTTATTATAACTGTTTTATCTTATTTTTATTTTTTATTTTTTGAAGTTATAGATGCATTTAGTTCATGTAAATAGTCAAATATTTCTACAGGTTTAATTTATAAAAATGTCACCTTCTCCTCCTCTACCCTGTGTCTCTTCTCTCCTCTCTTTTTAACTCCCCAGGGCAAATATGTAATTGTTTTTAACATCTTTAGTAGCTACTTACCTTTTATATTTACCTTCCTTCTGCTCGGTTATGTGTTGGAGTTTGTTTTTCAGTTTTATCCATTATATTGACTTACCACTTTGAGAGATAGAGACTTAACTTTCACAAGTATTCATGTACATCACTGCCTTTTTCCCTTTTCTCCTTTTTCCTAAAAAGGATCATTTTTGTGTTAAATCAACAGTCATTATTTATATTATTATGACTATGTAAATATTATACATATTGTTCAATGATTAAATTTCTTCTTGCACAACTTTTGGTCCCTTTAAGCTAATAATTGTCTCCCTTTATAGATTTCTTATTTTTCTTTATAGCTAGACATTCTTCAAACCCTTACACTCTGATCTTACTGTAAATATTCTCTCAATATGTTAGCACACATCTGGTATTCTCACTAATCTGGTCTTCCTAGAGACCTCCCTCCCCAGCTCTGCTGACCGCCTGCCATCATCCTCACTAGGTCTGCTGCCGAGGGGCCGGCCTAGGGTTGCCCTTGGCTGAGATCTCTTACTTAAGGATAACAAAATTAAGTTGATTTGAAGTTCTGTATATGACTGGGATTTATTGACTGATGAATTTCAATGGAGGATGTTGTGGGTGAGTTGTTTCTTTTATTAATAGACCTGTTTTTGGTATTTTTAGATATTTTCTATTGATCTCATCATATTTGCTAAGAGTGAACCTTCTATTACCCTACCTGGAGAGAAGGTTTCTGTATGCCAAAAGAGAAAACATCTGAGGAGTCCAGGCAATCATGACACCTTTTTTTGGGGGGGGCGGGGGGGACTGTGTCTCACTCTGTCACCCAGGCTGGAGTGCAAGTAGCATGGCCTTGACTCACTGCAACCTCTGCCTCCCGAGTTCAAGCTATTCTCCTGCCTCGGCCTCCTGAGTAGCCAAGATTACAGGCGTGCACCACCATACCCAGCTAATTTTTATACTTTTATTATGCACGGGGTTTCACCTTATTGGCCAGGCTAGTCTTGAAATCCTGACCTCAAGTGATCCTCCCGCCTTGGCCTCCCAAAGTACTGGGATTACAGCCATGAACCACCACACCAGGTCGACACCATCCTCTTTAAAGTGTGATGTTTCTCGCTGTATTTGGTGTCTCCCTGTTCACTCTCTCACTCTCAGTTTTCTGCTGAAGTGAGGAAGGAACAGGCACCCACACTGACTGGGTACATGAGGATTCCAGAGAACAAGCCATTTCACAATCAGAATTTCATCAAATCCTCCTGTTTCTGGTCTCTTTTGCAGCCCTATTTTAATAGGTACCTGGTGTTGACAATTTCTAACCCTTTCTTTGTTCGGTGGTACAAACAGCATTCTCAGCTTCCCTACTAAGAACTTAGGTTTTAGGTTTCCCCCTCAGGTCTTACATCACTGACACTTACATATCTGCTTTCCAACTAGAATCTTATTACTATCTATTCTCCTGGCCCCTGTACCTTTATGCTTTCTCATTCTTTTGTCATCATTTTAGTGGAGTTTTATGGGACAATGGAGGTAAGTGCATATGTGCAATCTGCCATCTTTAACTAGGATATGTCATTATATTTGGACTAAATTTTTATGAGGTATCTCAAATAATGTTAATAAGTAAACAGGGTATAACTAAGGAGTAGATAAACAAGTGAATGAATATAAACTTACCAGTCATAATTTAAATACTTATTACAGATAACTTTTCCTTAAGTGTTTTAAATTTCTGTTTACTAAGGATTATCTTCCTTTGTCTTTTGAATACAGATGAAAGTTTTAGACAAAGCCGATCAAACCTCACCTCTCTATTAGTGCAGCCCATCTCTGCACCCCTCGTTGCAAAACTGATCTCTTCGCCAAAAGCTAGAACCAAAAATGAAGCGTGTAGCTCTCTAGAGCTTCCAAATAATGGTAAAGTATTTAATGTCGTTCTCTGTATTTTACAGTTTTTTTAAAGACCATGATCATTTTTAATCTCCTAAATTGATGTATGTAGGATTATTCTTTTCAAAAACATTGACTTTTGATGAAGTGAGCATTATTTTCTTCTGTGGCTCTTTAGCAGCATGTTTGGAAAGTAATTTTGATAGAGACTGAGAGTTGACCAAAATGAGAGATTAGAAAAAGAAACCATTTTGAACTGCTACAAAGAAAAGTAGCTTTATAAATAAAGCATTTTTGTACATTCATGAAAATCTGCTTAACATAGCTTCCCGGTTTCAGCTTCAGCAGTCTCATTGCCTGCCAAGATTCAGTGGATAGCAGGCAACTATCTGGGGTATGAAGTCTTTTAGTATAAAGCATTAAAGCCTAATTCCTGCAATTGACTAAAAAATCCCTCTGTCTATGCGCATCATCGCCCGAGAGATGCTTCTTGTACTGCAGTGCCGTTTGTCAGGCCTTGTTGGACCACGTAGGATGAAACTGAAGTAGTTAAGCTACCTGTGGAGGGATGAAAGCCTTGGGCTGCATCTTGTTCCTGCCTCCAGCCTCAGCATTAGGGTTCTAAAGAAAAGCCTCTCTTTACAATTTGTTAAATTTGTATCTATTTGCTAGGAACTACACCTTGTGGGCTCTTTTTTGTGTCCAGACCTCTGGGTTCAATAGTCATGTTTTATCTCAACTGTTTTTCTCTTGACAACAAAAGCATACAAAAAAGAAAATATGTTGAAGAAATATGTACAAAAAAATCTGAATACATTAAGGATTTCTCTGTTAGGGACATATGCTTTTCAAAATCCTGTAGATTGAGAGCCTCTAAACTGATTACCAATTAAACAAGGTGGGAAAATTAGAAAACAGTAATAAGCCAATGTCCTCAAAGCAGGAGTGCAGAAGCACTCGAGGAGCTTTCTGTTTTGTTTTGTTTTGTTTCTGCCATTTATTCTGAGCCCAACAAATTGATTATGGGCTCTGTTTGTTAAAATATGTAATGTAAAATATGTAAACCAAAATAATAGTGTAGTTGTAAGAGGCACTGGACTTGTAAAAGACCATATTTAAGCCCAGATTTAAATAATTAATTAATTCAATACAGAGCCCCCAATACATTCCAGCCACTGTCCTGCCCTCAAGGAGCTGACAGTCTCTGTGCTAGCTCCATGCCCTCCCCTATGTCACCTCCCACTGGAAGCCTCTATGTCTGCAGCTACAAAAAATAGCTACAACTTTATCATCTTAAATAGTTGTGAGAATCAAAGTATGATATGTGTATCAATTCTTTTTTAAAATTTTTTTGTGTTATATGTTATGTTATATATTTTTTGAGACAAAGTCTTGCTCTGTCATCAGGGCTAGAGTGCAAGTGGCTTAATCATAGCTCACTGCAGCCTCAAACTCCTAAGCTGAAGCAATTCTCCTACCTCAGCCTCCCAAGTAGCTAGGACTACAGGTGTGTGCCACCACACTAGACTAATTTAAAAAGTATATATTTTTGTAGCCACAGGGTCTCGCTAAGTTGCCCAGGCTGGTCTTGAGCTCCCTAGATCAAGTGGTCCTCCTGCCTCAGCCTCCCAAAGTGCTAGGATTATAAGTATGAGCCACCATAACTGGATTAATTTTTTTGTATGTTGTAAAATGTTATGTAACTATTAAGAAGTATCTTTGTTATCAAATAACTACTTTTTTAAAAAAATGCAGACATGTCTTACTCTATTGCCCAGGCTGGAGTGCAGTGGCATGGTCATGGTTCACTGCAGCCTCAAACCCCTGGGCTCAAGTGATCCTCTTGCTTCAGCCTTCCGAGTAGCTAGGGCTACAGGCACATGACACTACACCCAGCTAACTTTTAAATCTTGTTGTAGAGACAGGATCTTACTATGTTGCCAGGGCTAGTCTCAAATTCCTGGGCTCAAGCAATCCTCCTGCTTGTCTCCTAAAGTGCTGGGATTATAGGCATGAGCCATTGTGCCTGGCCTAACATTAATTTTCTTCTTTTTTTTTTTTTTTTTTTGAGACAGAGTCTCGCTCTGTCTCCCAGACTGCAGTGCAGTGGCACAGTCTCGGCTCACTGCAAGCTCCGCCTCCCGGGTTCACACCATTCTCGCCTCAGCCTCCCAAGTAGCTGGGACTACAGGTGCCCGCCACCAAGCCCGGCTAATTTTTTGTATTTTCAGTAGAGACGGGGTCTCACCATGTTAACCAGGATGGTCTCGATTTCCTGACCTCGTGATCCGCCCACCTCGGCCTCCCAAAGTGCTGGGATTACAGGCATGAGCCACCACGCCCAGCCTTAATTTTCTTCTTAATATGCAGAATAATGTCCTTGCAAAGCAAGATGACACTCTCCAGCTGCATTTCCATAATAAATTAACAACAGGCATGAAGCCTACAAGAAGAGTTGAGATATACACCCATGTTAAAGCAAGAAAGATAGGCCTACTTTCTAAGGGATTATGACATATGAAATTGTTCTCATGGATATTGTTATGTTTTTAGAAAAATTGTTATGTTTTTTAAAATTCAAAAAGATATATTTAAATCATTGAGAAGACCTTTCATGTTATAATGAGTTATTTATTTTTTAAAATACAGAATATACATTTAAATTTTCCAAATACTGATTGAACAGTCTCACTGAGTCTGGTAAATCAGTATTGGAAAATCTAAATATATAATTCTATGTTAACATATAATCCTACATTGAACTGAATTTAATGTAGGATTATAACCCCTTACCCTAATGTTTTGGACAATAATGCTCATAGTTTTTCTGAGATAATTAAGTTTCCTCATAGATACTATAAAATGCATTAATTATTCACAGTGATGTATATCAGGATGAAACATGAAAAGGATACTGAATGAGGTACTATAATTTTAAGCAATAACAGCAATGCTTATTATTTAAGGATAAAAGAAATAATTTAAAACATATTATAATTATAACATATTGTTAAATTTTCTAAGTATAGCCCTGATCTTTAGTGTCAGAAAATCTTCACTCAACAAGTTGGAAATGGGCACATTAAGAATATGTGTGAGAATCCACTAATTATTTATCTTACCCATTTAACCCTTTATGCACACTAAATCAAAATTCTCTAAAATCCAGGCAAAAATGTAATAGAATTTTTCTACTACCAAATCAAGGACTACATTTAACACCTCTAGTGTTAAAGTGAGTCATTGTTCAAATTTCAGAAATTGAGTCTTGGTCCTGTTTGTCCAGACTTGGATTATCCTTGAACCAATCATCATAATATAGTTGATGTAGTCTGTCAATAGGCTTGAGTCAACCAGAATCTATTTCTAGGGATATTGCCAAAGCTACTCATAAAATGTTGATGGGAAATGCTGGCAACAGTTCAGAAAGGGAAATTGGCAAATGGATGTTGAGAAAGCAAGTGTAGTTCAAGGATGGTACAAGTCTGGCCAAGACTCAGTTTACAAACTTTAAGTAATGACTTGCTTCATCATTAAAAGTGAACAAGAAACCATGTAGCTCTGGGATCTTTCTCTAGCCATCTTAAGACCATGGGAATGCATCCTACCTGAAAATAAAGTCAACATAGGAAGGGGTCAGATGAGTAAAGGGGAGAGAAAGATAGAAATAGATATAGAGAGAAGGTGTGGGGAAAGACGGAGAAAGAGAGAGAGAAAAAGAAACCCTTATTTATATGATTAGAGCCCTAAATAAAGCCTTGTCTGAAGCCAAATCTATTGAACTTTTCGTATATATGAGTCAATACATTACTCCTTTGTTTCAGCCTATTTATATTTGGTTTTTGGTTACTTGCAACTAAAAGCTATCTAACTGATACAAATCATAACACTTAAACTAAACAAAAGAATTAAATGCCTTCATGCATGAGATAGGCTCAGCAAATTGAAGTGGACAGCTGGGCATTTGTATCGCTGCGAGAACTAAAAAAAAAAGTATAAGGAATGGAAAAAGAATCATGAAAAAAGTTCCTCCTTAAATAGATTGTTTGCATTGATTAGATAATTGGATACTGACTCCATTTCATTTTGAATGGTCTTTTTCTTTGTAGACCTGACCCATTCATTCAACGTATTGTCAATATTTGTCTTTGAAGTTCAGTCAAAACATGGAAAGCTTAATTTTCACATATCAATCTGAGCTTGTGGTTAAAATTCATGACTATAATAATTAAAAGGGAAGAAGAAATTTTAAAATCCATTAATGTAATTTAGCGTGAAAAATATAAATGAATCAAGTTAAAAATAAACATTTTAAGATATTTGATGATTCACTTATTTTGAAAAAATAATTGTTTACATGTTGCTTAAAACTTATCAGTGATGACAAAATTTTACATAAATAAATTTGGGTGATGTCTCTTCAAATGGATATTCAAGTGCTATTATTTCCTTATTTCCTATTATTTCCTTATTTACAATTCTATATTTTTATGAAAATTACTTTTATTATTAAAATGACATAGTGTCTAACCGATCATCTTGTTTATAATTTTTACGTATTTCTAATGCATTTTGAAAATCTATCTTCCTAATCTGTTAGTAGTTACTTGAAACAATGCATTACTAGCATTTCTTGAGTACAAATTTAAAAGCATGTATTGAACATATTATCTACAAGTTGTAGTTACACAAATATTTATTGGCAAATGGTGCCTTTTAGCTTTTCAAGAAATTTCTATTAAAAGGAAATGTTAGTACAATTGAATGCAACATTGTGTATTCTTACATATGAAACTAATCAATGTGTTCAGAGCAGCTTCAGAATTGCTCCATGTGAGAAGATCCAGTACATTATGCTATTCTCATTAAAGAATGTCTTCAGATTCTCTCTCTCTCTCTCTCTTGCTATGTCTTTCTCTCCCTCTATCCACCTACCTATCAATTTATCTTGGTAGACAATGGAGTAGTATGATCTTATATGACATAGCTTCCTTTAAGTTCCAACATAACAAATGACAAACCTTTTTGGCCATAACAAAACTAAGTATTTTTTAGTAGGCCTTAAAAGAAAAAAAAGAAAGGGAAAACTAAAAACTTGTTTTTGAGCAGAGTGGGCTTTAATAATATTGATTAGGCTTTTCCAATCAACATGGAGGAAAATATTCAAAAGAAATGGGGAAAATTTTAATTTGTGCAGATAGCTTCCATATAGCATGCATATAGATATGATGGCTGTTCTTTATCTGAATAATTCAGGGAGCTAGAACTCTTTACGAAGAACTGATATGTGTGGAGACAAATGCCAGATCAACTGTCTTCAAGCAGTCAGTTACATAGTGAACCTAGGAGTCTGAGGTAGGAGCTGATAACGGAGTATTCCGTAGAACTAAAGATCAACATTCATGAGCTGCCAGTCGGAAGTCCTTGGACAAAAGGAAAAAGAGCTTCAGAATTCACTTTGAAGGACTGTTCATCAGGGATCTTAAATGGAGTGAGCGTAGGGGGGAACCTATTGTCCAAAGTCCACAGAAAGTAGAGTCAATTCTCTGTTTCCTGGGGAGTGCAGGCTGGGCTTACCAAAGGTGACGCAGATCTGACATTCACCCAGAACTTCTCAAGTTTCCAGGATTCTGTCTCAACAGTTTTGATTTTAGAAATGATTCAGCTGGGGTACAGTCTAGAGTTTTTGTTTGTTTGCTAAAAGACTTAAAGACAACCTGAGATGTACACTTGGAAGCAAAATTACTTTAAAAAGTGTTTTCTACTTTTTCAATATTTCTCAACGATTTTACAGCTTCTTATTTTCTTAGCATATCATTTTTCAAATACCTGTCACTTTTTACAAATTATAGAAATTCCAACTAAACTTTGGAGTTTATATGTGTGATAAAATCCATTAGCGTACACCCTATCTTTATATTTTTATGTTATGGACCAACACTGTCATTTACTAAACAAAAACTTGCACGGATTCCTCACTGCCTTTGTGTTTCTATATTCTGCTATTCCTTGCAAGTATCCAATATTTCTCCTTATTATTCTGTTCAGTATTATCCAAATATGTCTTGCATGTCTGTGTCTCTAAGTTGTAAAGGCCCATTACCCTCTAAATTCTTAAGGTTCAGTGCAAGTGTTATATTCTCCACCAAAAGCTCTTTAGAGTTTCATTCAAGTTGGACGTAGCCTCTCTTTATGACTCTGTCATGCATTTGGCACTTGTGTGCTATTTGGCATTATGATATGATATTCTTCCGAGAATATCATAAGCAGAGCATAAGCAACTGAATTTTCATTAGAATATGTTGTTTCCTCTTCATAATTGAATTATTTGTGGTTTTCTTTATGGTTCAGGGTATCATCAGTGTTCTATGAGTATTTGAAATGAATGTACGCTGTGTAATTGTCTATTCTATACATGCCACTTAGACTAAGTTCCTTAATCAGGTTGTTCAAATATTCTGTATATTATTCATGTTAAAATCTCCTACTGTGAATATAAATTTGTCCATTTTCCCTTGTAGTTAGTCAATTTTCACTTTATATGTTTTGAGATTATTTCTTCGGTGTTTATACATTCAAATATATCATACCTTCCGGAATAGCTGAACCACTTATCACATGAAGTGACATTCCTTATGTGTAGTAATTCTTGTTTTGAGTATTAATTTTGGAGCACTGTTTGTATTGGTATCTTTATGCTACGTATTTTTTGCTTTCAACCTTCCTGTATCTTCCCTTTATATATGTCTCATTAATAGCAAATAATTTCCAATTTAAATGCAATCTGATAGTCTTTTAATAGGAGCATTTGGTCCCTTTCATTTAATGTGATTAATATGTACTTAGGCTTATAGTTTTCATCTTAATTAGGGTTTCTTCTTTGAATCACATATTGTTTTCCTTGAGGTTTATTTTTTCTTTAGATTTAGATGTTTGCCATTAAATTTTTCTCTCTACTATTTAGAAGTTATAAATACATTTTGTATTCTTTTATAATTAATCTAAGAAATTACAACTTCTTAGAGATGCCATGCCCCTGCTCTGCTTAATGTCAGGTAACTTTCTTTGCAGTCTCTTGGGAGGGAGGGGGAAGTTCAGAACTTTAGGGTTCCTACTTTATAGAGGAAGAATCTTTTTTTAGAACCACCTTCTTCATCCCAGTTTTGGTAAGCCCAGGACTTTGTCTTCTGACCTTTGCATCTCACGAGGCCATCAGTATTAAAGGGTTCTCTTTGTTTACCAAATTCCCTTAGGTTGAAGATAGCCTCGTAGTTTTATTTACCTGGGTTCCCATCACAACTTAAATTTTGACCTAGTAAGTTCTTAATTTCTTGCTAATTCTTAGATGCTGTTAACAAGATTTGTTTTGTATTTTATTTGGCATTATAAGTTATTATCAGTGAGTGGATTAATCTGATATCCTAGCCCACCATATTTTTAGTAAGCAAAATCTTCTCTTCCTTTCCATCCATTTATTTCCTGGCAGCAAATATGGACTTGGAAAATTGTGTAGATTGATTGGCATATAAATCAGGTTTGCATCAAGAAAAAAAGAATACACTAAAAAATGTGCAATTTAAGAGAATTTAATCAAGTGCTTATGCACATGGTGTGGACAGGTAGAGCAAAACAGAAAAGGGATACCATTGCTACTGCCTCTAAACCAGGTCTAGTAATTGCTACTACTGTAAACCTGAAAGGGCAAGAAGAGAGAGCAGTTGTAGGACCGGGCAAGTACTTTAGCTGTAAGAGAAGAGCTGTGGCTTTTAGTCAAGCAGAGTTGTCACTGCATAAAGTGGACAGCCAGGGAGGGTACTGGAAAATAAATACTCCAGTCTTTCCCTTAACCCAACCTGCTGGCCTCTTGTTGATGCCTTCAATTGGGTAAACTAAACCCGAAGCCAAAGAATAAAAGAACCAGGTAGATGTAGTTCTTAGAGGTACTTCTCCTGGGGTAAGGTTAATGGAGGGTAGCAAATAGATGTGAATGAACAAATAGAAAATATGCAGCAAAGATAGTGCTTCAGGTGATTAGTCTTCTGATTCATTTTATGATTTATGATTTGTGGAAGTGTTTGGTAGACAGATGAGAAAAAATTGTCAATTTTTACATTTCTGAGGGATACAAAGAGAGTAAAAGTTATTTTTTCTCATATTCGTATTATTTAAAATGTCTTCCTAGTTACATAATTTTACTAAATAAAAAGAATACGATTTAATTCAATGTTAATTGTTTTTCCAAAAGTATGCAAGCTCACATGAATACTTGCACATATGGATGTGAAAATGTGTGCGCATGTATTAGACAATCAGGGGATAGCTATATGTACTTGAAAGTTTACAAGTTATGATGGCAGAGAATCTAGAAGCAGTTTATATTCAGATTTTCCGGCAAACAGTTGGCATTTAGGAAAGATAGCTGCAGACCACAGCATCTCAATCATCAAAACTGTGCCTCTAGAACAGATTCTAGTCACAGTGAGGATCAGGAAAATTAAGAAAATGAAAGAACAATCTGGAAGTCCAATCCTAGAAGAAGTTATTTTCTAGAGCCAGGTGGACAAGAAAGGGACTCAAGTATATATAATGGGACAAATATTCAATTAAACTTAGAGACTCTAGAAGAACTATGCCTAGGAAACTAACAAATGCTTACTTATTGGAATTGAGACTCAGAGTTAGCAGCAAGTGTTATTCTTCAAATCTCTTTGAATAAGATTGGAATTTTTTCTAGATACTTGGTATAATTATTCACAATACAGGTGAAAATGAAGCTTTGTTAGTTATCACGGAAGAAGAAGATTGGGAACCAATTAATCTGGCTCTTAATAATTGCAACAAAAATGCAAGACAGAATTGTCTCTGGACCATAAAATTGGCAGCAGTTATTTTTCTCTGCACATGATGAAATTAAGGGATAGAGAGAGGCAGCTATTTCATGTCTCTTAGCTCTGACACCCCTCACCCTATTTGAATACAAATGTTCTCTGAGTGGAACACATTTTTATATCTTGAAATCTTTTAAACTTCACATGTCATAATTAAAGCTGTCATCAAATTTTACATGAAAGGCAGAAATTGGTAAATGTGAGCTGGAAATGTAATTTTTAACTACCAATACACACACACACACGCAGCAATTTTTTGAATAATTAACTGCCCCTAAATGTTCTCCAGGAGTTTCTAATTACAACTTTCAACGGTGAATTTTTTTTAAATCTTGAAATAAATGTACAGAAAGTTGCAATAGTAAAAGTATTTTTTCTTAACTACTCAAGAGCAAATTACAAACATAGTGAATATCTCTGACTTTGTCAGTGAATCATCTGACAAACAATGACATACTCCTACACAGATGATGCAACCATCACAATCAGAAATTAATCATTGATACATTACTACCATGCATTCCACAGACTCAATTAAACATTTTCCATTTTTCCCAGTAACATCCTAAATTACAATAGGGTCCAAACTAGGCACATGTATTGCATCAAGTTGTCAAATCCTCCATTTCCTTCAACCTGGAAGAGTTTCTGTCTTTTCTTGACTTCCTTTGCTTTGCTACCTTTGAAGATTCCATACCAATTATCTACAGTATTGTCCCTCCAATCTGGGTCTATCTGATGTTATCTCATGAGGATATTCAAGCTCTGAATCTTTAACAGTAATACTACAGAGTGAGACTATGTTTTTCCTATTGCATTTTATGAGCTGGTGCATGATATTACCATGTACCAGGGAACAATTTTTTCCCCTGTTTGTAATCAGTTGATGCCATTACTATGGATCCAACGTTCGTCACTGTCTAATATGGGCTATTCACCCTACATCAAATGTTCTACCTGCCCCTACCATGATGTAGTTAACTTCCTTACTCTACTCAGGCTCTAACAAGGTATGTTTCTCAGCTCTTAAAAGCAGATGTCCTTCTCACTCTGCTTCAGTTTGTCCCATCTCTGGTGCTGCTACTACCTATGATCACTTGATTAAGGTGGTGGCCGCCAGGTCTCCCTATTGAAGTTACTTTATAATTTTTTTCTTTTATACTCAGTAAGCATTTGAAATCATGTAGCATACTGCCCCAAACCACTGCTACCTTTAGCCACTAGTATTTGTGTTCACTGATACGTGTTGCCCAGTCATTTCTATGATGATGCCAATGGTGACTTTCCAACTTCCTTTTTTTATTTTGTGTTTAAGACAGTTTCACTCTGTCACTGCAGTGCAGTGGCACCATTTTAGCTAAGTGCAGCCTTGAACTCTTTGGCTCAAATGATCCTCTTGCTTCAGTCTCTGAGTAACTAGGACTAGAGGCATGCACCACCATGTCTGGCTAATTTTTTTTTTTTTTTTTTGTAGAGACAAGATCTTGCTATGTTGCTCAGGCTGGTCTCAAACTCTTGGCCTCAAGGGATCCTCCCAAAGCTTTAGGATTACAGGCATGAGCCACCACTTCCAGCTGTAATTTTATCATCTTTACACTTATTAGTTGAAATTCCACTGTAAAGAAGAGATTTTTCCTTTTTTCTATTCATTTCTTGGTATGATTTTTTTAATTTACACATGCCAGTATTGAGTCATTACTTAATTAGGATTTATATTCATAATAGATTCAATAGGTTATAAACCAGTACTATTTGTATCTTAATACTCAAATTGTCAAATGTTAGGCAGTAATAGCAACTTCAGCTGGGTTCTGTGTCCTTTGACATGTACTCATTATTCTTCGGGTATTTCTTTAGTTTTTGGCACCATAAGATGTACCAAATCATCTTGTACTTTTCCTGTGCCAGCTGTTATCAGCCAATTCTCCAGACTCTAGGTCCTTTGAGTGGAGAATAGTGTCTAGAAAACCAGATCTGGATTCATCTATTGCTATTGAAGTGTTGTTTCTCTCCATACTACTCAGTGAGCAAAACTAGGAAAATATAGTTATATTTTAATATTACATTTGTATGTAAGTATATAAAAATATATCTATACACTCAGATTTATATCTGTATTTACTTTTAAATCTATATGCATGGGTGTTATACACACACATACACACGGTTTTGTATATATGTATGTTCTCATGGATATATATAGATATATATACAATCAACAACATATATAGATATGTTCTCATGGTTTTATATATAAATATATAAATTAATATAAATTCATATGTTCTCTTGGTTTTATATATAATATATAATTAAAATATATTAAATTTTATAATTTATAAATATAATAAAAATAAATTATATATATATAAAACCATGAGAACATATCAATATCAAGTTTTATTTATCTTTCCATGTTTGTAAATCTTTTCTCTAGCAGTTAGAAATTGCCTTCTCATTAAATGGAATATATTTACTTAGGTAATTAGATCCTCTGCATGTAATCCATTGATGCCATTACTCCCTTCACAATGGATCCAACCCTAGGCACTGGTACATACAGGCTATTCACTCTATATCAAATGTTCTGTCTGCCCCTACCACAATGTGGTTAACTTCCTCACTCCACCCAGGCTCTAACACTATATGCTATTCAGCTCTTAAATGCAGATGGCCTTCTCACTTTGCTTCAATGGCTTATCTCATTGCACTATTTCCCCTGGTAGTTGCTTTCTTCCTCATATTCAGGCCTTCTCACACAGAGGTACACATGTGCCCACACACACACCTAGACACTATCCCCACCATCCTTGGGCCCTGATATACCATGCTGGACCACAGGCCAAAATAACTAGATCCTGAGGTCCACAACCACCATAAAAGAAAATTAGCACAACAAATACATATACCACCCGAAGTTACCATATTGGAACACATGGTATAAGAACTTAAAATAAGGATTAAAGTTAAACTCAAAAAGAGAATAAAATATGTTAGCAATATAAAACAAAAATCAGAAAACATTTTAAAAAATGAGAGGAAATAATAGGTATGGAAAATAAGATAACTGAAAGAAATATAGTAATAGGGTGGGTAGATAGATACAGCCATAGATAGATGTAACTGAAGAATAAATTCAAGAGCTAGAAGATCAGATTGACCTTCTAGATCCAGAGAGGCGTAGAAAAGGATAAATAGAGAAATACAAAAGTACGAGTAAAATATACAGTCGATTAAAATGGAGTTCTAGAAACAATATTAGAAGAAGGAAAAAATGGGAGAGAGAAAATGGTCAAAAAAGTAATAATAATTTTTCCAGAAAAAAAGGAAAAAAAAACCACACGTATATATTTTATAGTTAAATTCAAAAAGCACAAAGAGAAAAATTCTAAAAGTTTCTACAGTGAAAAAGGGTTCGATATTAACAGGTGCTACACTAGGAGGAGACAATCTCTCTAGGTTTTAATTCCACCATCCCTGGGGATTTGGAGGAGGAGACATACCCCAGAGTGCAGGTTTGTTCAAGACTTTTTACAACAGTGCCTCACTCCAGTAGATATGGGAAGGCCTGCTAAACCCAATTTCTGTTCCACTATTTAATCTCTCCTTTTTCATAGTTTGTTCATAATCATACACGTTTTTACCTAAGTTTAATCATTACGTATATCTCTCTGTATTCTTTTCACTTACAGCATATCCATGTTTCTAAATATTCTTTTTACATTTTTAACAGCCACACATTTTATCACAATTCTCTAAGTCATTTCCCTGTTTCACATGTTTATGTTGTTTTCTGTTATTGCTATTACAGATTATACTACAGAGAGTTGAATTATTCTTGTAGGATAAATTTCTAAGTACAGGATTGCTTTTGTTATTGCTATGAAGAGTAATATTGCCTTACCAACGGATTGTTCAAATTAGCAATGCCAACAGCAGCAGGTGTGTCTTTAGAGCAAGTTTATTCAAGACTTTCTGATATTTATTATTAAAATTTAAAATGTGATCATGGTGCTGACTCTAGTGAAAATAAACAGACTCTATGCATATTTATTTTCAGATGTGAGTATGGAATAATATAAAACAATATGCATCAGGATCAGCACATGCATGAGGATGTAAATAAAGAGATGAAAAGTAGCTTTTTGCTATGTAAATATGTCATTATTTTGACCTAGTCTTTGCCTAGTGATACATAAGGAAGTCCTTCTGTCAGTTGGAAGGATCCAATGTAAATATAGCATTCTTCTCAGAGCAAAAGATTAGGTTTATTTTCTTTGACCTCTGTGCTTCTTTTAAATAGTTCTAGACCTCGAGATGTAGAAAGCAGAATAAAATAATTTGAAATCCTTCCATACAAATGTTTAAGATCTCTGAAGGAAATTTAAAAGCAGCTCTCAAAAAATAAAGTAAAATATAACCAAATATACAAAAGCAAAACTGAAGACAGAATCAACAATCAGAGAAGTAAGCAAAAGAGTTGGTACTCTGTTTGCCGCATATTCAGAAGTTATGGGTCTTGGTAAAATTAGAGTGGGACTATAGCATCCACACTGGGACAAAAGAGATGATCATGTTCCCAAAGAGGCAGGGTGTTGCAGACCCAAAGAGTGCGCAGCAGCAATATTTATTGTAAAGAGCAAAAGAATAAAGCTTCCACAGTGTGGAAAGTGACCCAAGCAGGTTGCTGCTCCTGGCTGGTGTGGCCAGCTTTTATTCCCTTATCTGTCCCCACCCACGTCCTGCTGATTGGTCCATTTTACTGAGTGCTGATTGGTCCATTTTACAGAGTGCTGACTGGTCCATTTTGCAGAGTGCTGATTGGTGGGTTTACAGTTCTTTAGCTAGATACAGAGCGCTGATTGGTGCATTTTTACAGAGTGCTGATTGGTGCATTTACAATCCTTTAGCTAGACACAGAATGCTGATTGGTGCGTTTTTCCAGAGTGCTGATTGGTGCATTTTTACAGAGTACTGATTGGTGCATTTACAATCCTTTAGCTAGACACAGAGTGCTGATTGGTGCATTTACAATTCTTTAGATAGACACAGAGAGCTGATGGTGCGTTTTTACAGAGTGCTGATTGGCACATTTACAATCCTTTGTCTAGACCCAGAGTGCTGATTGGTGCATTTTTACAGAGTGCTGATTGGTGCATTTACAATCCTCTAGCTAGACAGAAAAGTTCTCCAAGTCCCCACTTGACCCAGGAATTCCAGCTGGCTTCACCTCTCAATCCCCCCTCTAATCACGACACCCCAACAGCTGTTGGGAATTGGGCAATGACCACTCTAGCTACTTCCAGTAAGAATGTGATCCAGTAAAAATTAG
Organism: Homo sapiens; assembly: GCF_000001405.40. NCBI lineage: Eukaryota > Metazoa > Chordata > Mammalia > Primates > Hominidae > Homo > Homo sapiens. The sequence goes on from NW_019805489.1 coordinate 135,078, forward strand.
TGCATGTGTGTGAAAATGGTTATTGTAAATTTTAATCACTATATTAATGCAAGGTAATATTGTAAGTAGTACAGTATACATATTGTGACGTTTTCTCGCTGCTAACTTAGACAAAAATATATTGAATTTTAGAAAACCAGAAAAGATTCTTCACCTATATCTGTATCTAAAATAAGCAGGAAAGATCATTGAAAGGTGTAAGGTAAAGAGTCTATAAAGTTCACTTATGTGGATCGTTTGGAACAAAGCTTGAGCAGGGAATTAGACAAACAATCAAAACAAACAAACATATGAGCCCAGTGCTATGACAATCTTGAAAAGGCAGAACTATGAGACAATAAAAAGATCAGTGGTTGCTGCCAGGGGTTTCTGGGGAGAGAGGGAGGGAAGGAGGGCTGAAGAGGTGGTGCACAGGGGATTTTAGAGTAGTGAAGCTATCCCGTATGATACTATCATGATGGATATACACCATTATGCATTGTCAAAGCCCATTGAATATACAACACAAAAAGTGAATACCAATGTAAACTATGGACTTTATGTGTCATTATTGGTCTATCAGGGTAACAAATGTTCCACAGTAATGCAAGATGTTAATAATAGGAGGCTTGGGAGACAGAGGGTATTGGGGAACTGTATACTTTCTCCTCAGTATTTTTGCAAACCTAAAATGCTCTAAGAAACAAAGTCTATTAATTGAAAAACAAACGAAAATGCATAGTACCTAAATTAAAAGCACAATGCTCAGACTCTACGTAGATTTACTCATAGATAGATAAGGCACTCAGGCATTTTCTAAAGGCCTCTTTACTTTTGTTTTGGTTATTATTTTAATGGATTCAGTATACGGATTTTCCATTTAATTTGTTTGAAAGTGTACCTTGAGGGAAAGAAGTAATATATTTATTATTACAATTTCTATCTAGCAGTAAGAAGTGACATTTGTAGGCCTGCCAGTATAATGTGGCTACTTTGCATTACCTGCTTTCAAATGTGCCATGCTCTGCCCTGACACTAACACCTGGCTACTCTTAAACCTCTGCTTTAAGGAAAACTTTAAAGATCCTGTGAACCACTTCCCAACCCAGACTTCTCAGGATCCATCAAATACGGGATTAACACATTTCATCTCCAGAGACTATGTCAGTTCTGTGACTAGAGTCCTTCCTGTTTGGTGTCTTTGCCTTATTTGCAAAATTTTTGAATATCAAACATAAACAGAAAAATTCAAAAAGGTAGAGCGATTAGTACAGATTTAGAATAGAGGTAAGGGACCTACAAACTCAGAAATAAAAACTCTAATATATGAAAACATGTACAGCTTTAAGAATATTTATCCTTTTATGTTGTATAATGCTTTATTTATCATTTTTAAAGTGTTAATAAAATAGTGAGTCATACTGGAAAGGTTATTGTCCACATGTTCTTTATCTGAAAATAGAAAAGCATTCAATATTCTTTGGAAATATTTTAATCTATTTTTTTCTGTTTTTAAAAATATGAGTTCCCCACATCTCCTGAAGGTCTTCTCAATGCTCTCATGATGAACACTCATTGTAGAACTCAATGTAAGGTTTAGAAGTGTCTATTTATGGCTCTGAGGTTCAAAGAGGCTAGCAATTGTATCTTAGTCATCACTGCGTAACAAACACCTAAAATAGAATCTGTACAAAGTATTGAATAAATATTTGTCGGAAAAAGTATAACTGGCTATCTGAGAACATTCAATTCTGTGGAATTCTTTTGCTGATGATATTGGATAAAATAAATTTTAAGGTTTAAAAAATACAATAAAATATAAAGAAGCAAAAGTCTTTAAATTTTTATTTTTTCAGAAATAAGAGTCGTCAGCATGCAAGTTCAGACAGTCACAAAATTGAAAACAGTTACTAATGTTGTTGGATTTGTAATGGGCTTGACATCTCCAGGTAAGTAGGGTTGAAAATTTATAATCTACACTTTATATGAAACTATACAAGGAAATGCTCTGTAATAATTTAATATTATACTTAAATATCCTACTTGAGATATAACTAGAAATTTGTCCCACTCTTAGAGTAGATAAATTTGAAACTAAGAAGTGGGTCTTCCTTCTCTTTCCTACCGTATCTCTTCTAAAATAAATCTTAGTCGGGGGAGAGAGAGAGAGAGAGAGAGAGAGAGAGAGAGAGGTGGGGATCTCTCAGGAGGAGATGAAACAAGAAACAGAGTTTAGATTTGGTAAACTGGCATGTTCTAAAAAAGCCAAAGTTTTCTTTTTTCTTATACTCACCATAACACCACTGAAAATTTTATTTTGATCAAGAAGACATTTTAAAGAATGATTTTCTTTTTCCTCACTGCAGCCTCTGCCTCCCAAGTTCAAGCAATTCTTGTACCTCATCCTCTTGAGTAGCTGAGACTACAGGCACCCACCACCAAGCCCGGCTAATTTTTCATTTTGTATTTTTAGTAGAGACAGGGTTTCACCATGTTGGCCAGGCTGGTCTTGCACTCCTATCCTCATGTGATCCACCAGCCTTGGCCTCCCAAAGTGCTGGGATTAAAGGGGTGAGCCAGCATGCCTGGCTAAGAAAGATTTTAGTTTTTAATGATTTTTTTTTTTAAATAAAAGTTTTGGTCTCCAAATTTAGTTGTCCAGTTTTATTCTATGTCCCACTCTGTATCCTTGGTCCATTGCCAAATTTGTCAAATGTCTGCATGGCTTTAGGTTTTCAATGTGCTTATGAAAATGGTCACCTGCAGCTACTCAGGAGGCTGAGACAGGAGAATCGCTTGAATCTGGGAGGCGGAGGTTGCAGTTAGCTGAGATTATGCCACTGCTCTCTAGCCTGGGCAACAGAGAGAGACTCCATCTCAAAAAAAAAAAAAAAAATTGAAATCTTCAGATATTATGTAGGCTAATTAAGAGATTAATAGCAATACTTCCAAACACATCGTAAGGCTGAATCACATATTACTGTCTAATGTGCCTGTTATACAGTGTAGCATGTAACACTCTTTTTATTACACTTTTGCTACTTCTGTTGATTTTGGGACATTTACGCAAGTTCTCCCTGGAGAATTATTCTTTTCCATGACTTTAGTAAAATTGGCCTAGTTGCTAGCTCAGAATTTTAAGATCAAGTTTTACAGCCTCCCAGTTTCTTGCTGGCCAACTCTTACAAAGTTCATGAAAGCCAGTTATTTTCTCCGATTTCTTTACAGTCACAATGTTGAACAACCTCTGATTATAGTTCTTTAAATACAAGATATAAATAAATTTGAAAATTGTTACTATTGAATTTCAACAAATTTCCATCATAAGGTTCTCAATTGAAGCACTAGAATATTTATTATCACTGATACATTCGCAAGTTGTTATTGGAAAACCCAGTTGTACAAATTATACTAGCTTTAGAGTGAAGAAAATTCACTGTACAAAATAAACTCCTGGAATTGAAAAAATCGATTTTACCATTAGTATTCTTCAGTATATGATATGCAGAGTTTCTCAAATTTTGCTTATTTGAATTTTACAAAAAATTGACTATTTAATTAGCCGGGCATGGTGGCAGACGCCTGTAGTCCCAGCTACTGGGGAGGCTGAGGCAGGAGAATGGCGTGAACCCGGGAGGCGGAGCTTGCAGTGAGCAGAGATCACGCCACTGCACTCCAGCCTGGGCGACAGAGCGAGACTCTATCTCAAAAAAAAAAAAAAAAAAGACTATTTACATAACATTTTATTTAATAACTTTGAAGATTAGAAACAATAATCAATTAGCATTGTTTCTTAGATATGGTTTATTTAGAATGCAGACAATTCCAAGCAAAACTTTTGAGACATTTATGGGAGATAAGTGAATAAATTCTTGGGTTTTTAACATTTGCAGACACACTCTCACACTATGTATACCATGAATTAAATCTTTTTTTTTTTTTTTTTTTGAGATGGAGTCTTGCTCTATCACGGGGCTGGAATGTAGTGACACGATCTTCGCTCATTGCATCCTCCGCCTCTGAGGTTCAAGCAATTCCCTGCCTCAGCCTCCCGAATAGCTGGAATTACAGGTGCCCGCCACCAAGCCCAGCTAATTTTTGTATTTTTAGTAGAGACGAGGTTTCACCATCTTGGCCAGGCTGGTCTTGAACTCCTGACCTCGTGATCCACCTGTCTCGGCCTCCCAAAATACCGGGATTACAGGCGTGAGCCACCGCCCATTAATTAAACCTTAATAAAATGTTGGCAGATCAAATCCATTGCCAATTCCTGTGTGGAAAACTAAAATATCTTCATACTGTGGCATTTCTTGTAAGGTAGCTTTCTGGTGTTATAAGTCAAAGGGTGATTCATTTATTCCACCCATGTGTAAGACCTACTTTGTGTTGAGCATTGTTCAAAGTGGCTTACAAACAGTAACTCCTAAAACTCAGAACAACTAAATGGAGATGTACTATTTGTTTTCCTACCTTAGAGATGAAAATACTAAGGCATCGAAAGTTGAAATAAGCTTTCCAAGGTCACACAACTAGTGACTTGCACAGCCTGGATTCTAACCCAAGCAGGCTGGATTCAGGGTCTGAACAATTTACCATCCAGTTGTGGGACATCTGGTAAAAAAATGATATTCAATGAAGAAAAATTTTTGCACAGATGTATGAAGATACTTGCTCAGATAAATTCAGATATGTTATTATTACCAATAACATTCGCTGACAAGAAAATCAGAGGAAACTCTCTGGGGGCATTTTCAGCCTTATTATTGAAAATATTCAGTAATGTACATTGAACAGCTACTTCCATGTGTTAGGAAGGCTCTCCTAGTAGTGTATCTAATACATTTTGAATGATTGCATTAAATAAAATATGTAAAAGGCAACTTTTACAACAGTTGAATGACTTTTGATATTGGTGAATTTTATTTTTTTTCTTCACAGAAAGGAGAGGGCCTAAAATTTTAAGTTGGAAGCTGTAATTAATTCCCTGTGGAATTAATTTATTGCAGAATCCATACATGACTACCACATTTTTAATATTTAAAGCGCCTTCTTAAATGTATTAATAGTTTATTAATATTTACTGAGCATGCATACATTGTTTACAGGGCACTTCCCACTCTGAGTCTGGAAAAATGTTAGATAAGGGTTTCACTGTGGCATATTTACATGCTTCATTAATTAATATTCATGTTCTAAAGGAGAGTAATATGGATCTAAGCTTTGGATTCATAATTGGGTTCAGCAGCTGCCTCTGCTTTGATATACACAGATGTGTGAATTAAGACAGTGAGCAAAAAAATTAAAGTAGTCTTAATTATTAGAGCAATTTTGCTTAATTATTGCTCAGTTGTGCAATAGAATTATGTAAATGTCATTAAATTTATTGTTAAGGTTTACATTTTTTTAAATGGCTCTTGTCCCTTTCTATTTTCAGACCGGTATATCATAGTTGGCAGCCATCATCACACTGCACACAGTTATAATGGACAAGAATGGGCCAGTAGTACTGCAATAATCACAGCGTTTATCCGTGCCTTGATGTCAAAAGTTAAGAGAGGGTGGAGACCAGACCGAACTATTGTTTTCTGTTCTTGGGGAGGAACAGCTTTTGGCAATATTGGCTCATATGAATGGGGAGAGGTAAAGCAAAATATACATTAATTACAGTGCTTTTCTTTTCTTAGTTTGCTAAAGTAGACAAAGTAAAATTTTCAAAGCCAAGGGCAATAATGTGCTTCTCAACACAAGTGTCATATTGCCTAATTTGCTGAGATGGCTTATAATAATAATATGGAATTAGAGCTAGACCACAGCAAACTACGTATGACCTTCAAATATCTTACCCCTATTGTTACCAGACTTACAAACCCTGATACAGTCTAACACACAATAGTGTTTACCTTATTATTGTATTTCTCCTTAGAAGACAGGATGACAGGCACTGGACAAAAAAGGATCAGATGATACTTATTATTTTTCTTTTTCTACACTTTCTAGGAATGATCTGGAATTAGGGAACAGTCTCCTATATTAAATGTTTATTGCCTTAGCATTATATTTTCTCTCTTCAATATGGATATTGAATGTAAAATACATTTTAAAATCCACTTTTTCCTCCTTTTACCACTCCACTCTTTCACCCTTATCTCCCTACCTTCTGTCTCCTACCTGCCTATCTATTGCCTACCTACCTACCTAACCACCTTAGGGAACCTGTATCCAAATGAAATCTAGCATGCAATGAGGTACAGTTAGAATACAACTGAAATATTGGAGAATTTAAGTCTCAAACTCTTCTGACAGACCTGGGTCTCATAAATGCACTGTATTTTTAATGGAATATGATAGCTGATAATTGGATTGATAGAAAGTCTATTTACTTTTGTGATTTGTTTTAAAAAAGAGGTTCAATAGACATATGTAGACCAAAAACACTACATAATTTTACTAGGAAAGCAAGATAATTTAATACTGTAGTTTTTTCACTACTTCAGCTCTGAGGAGAAAAATTTAATAGGAAATTATTTTGCTACATTTTTATTTTTAATCACTCAAAAAAGATAAAATATCTATTAAATCAAAGAAAATATTTAAAAAGGTATAGAAAAGAAGATAGCAAGTATCTTTTTTAATTTGAAGTAAAGAATAGACTTAAAGATGAAAAAATTTTTTCAGTGTAAAATTCATCAAGATTCACACACTGCAAATTGGAATGCTTTTCTGTATGCAAATGAGTGGTGTGAATGTTTGGGCCATATTCAAAAGAATTACTTCAAATGAAAAAATTCCATTGCTTAAAGAATCTTTTTAAGTTGACAACTTTGTAAGTAAGCTGGAAATGAAATAGCTGAACCAACCTCTCAAACTCATATTCCAAATTACTTTAAAGATTGGTAAACAAGTTAAAGAACAGTTTAGGGAATATGTTTGTAATCTATACCATTTTTAATACATCAGAAACAATGAAATTAATGTTTTAGTTTTCCTGTAACAGTAAAGCACATATCTTTAAAATGTCTTAAAGATTCTTTTCGAATTCCAAAGATGTATTTTGCTATTTCAAACTATATTTTAGGTCTTCTAGATACCTATCTAGTAACTGTCACAATTAATTTGTGTTAATTCTAAATTAAAATATATATTTCTGAACTATGTTTTAGAATAGACTAGGCTTGTCTAAATTAATAGTTTCTAAGGTAAACATCTCAAACCCCAATGCATGCAAAATTTTATTAAAAAGTTTAGTTGAGCATCAAGCATCAGAGCCTGTGAGTTGAATCAATGTGGGCTTGCATGTGTGTGAGCGATAGTTTTTGTCAAAGTAAGTTGATATTTTTGTGGTTAATACACATTCATTCTTAAGTTTTTGTGGGGTCATTGTACCTTTTGATAATTGTATATTTTCTTAGTCAATGATGCTAAAAATACAACAACTACAATGTGGGAGTTCACAGGAAAAAAATTTTGTTAATAAGGTTATTCCTATTCAAAACAATTAAGTACCAATGTCTCTGAATGTTTATATATGTATTTACATTTAGCAAGTGATTATACATTCATTTACTGGCATTTTAGGTGACTAGATGGGCAAAGACATATGAGTAATGAAAATGGTAAATAATATACATTTGATTATTGGCCTATAAAATGTATTTTTATAATTTACTGTGTCTCACCAGATTGTTTCAGTGCAATTCATGAAGCCATTTTGTAAACATCCTATTGAAGACAAATTTAGAAAACTGCTAGTTGTCCTGTTTTGCCTACTCATGTCAAATGTAATCCTGAGAATGAAAGAGTTTATGTTAGACTGAAACTAATTTATGCTCTAAATATATTCCCCTGTGAAGGGGAGTGAGGAAAGCCCTTATTGACATGTCATATTGCCCCTTTTAATTTTGCTTGCATAGAAAACTCTGGAAACCCACAGTGGTAGTTAAGAGGATTAGATGATGTTGGTCAATAAACTTAACAATGGAATTTATAGACAGAATTATTAGAGAATTGATTCAATACTGATCTTGATCTTTGAGAAAAATTATAACATTTTGCTAAATAGGTTCTATACTTTAAAAAGTACCATTTCTTCTGTGAAGAATCCTCGTTTGTCAGAGGCTATTGTGGAAATATTATAGATATTGGAGTAAAAGAAGTCATAGTTCAAATTCTCTTTACCATAGAATATGTCATCTGAGGCAAGATTAACTTCCCTAAGACTTGATTCCTCAAATGAGTCTACTAATGCCTATCTTATGAGGGTCTCATGAGAATTATATAGACTAACATATAGACAGTGTCTATGTGGTAGTGTGCTAATAGAAGCTGATATTTCATAGCACTTAAGTAACAGATATTTTTGAACAATATTATGGAAAAATTACTCAAGCTTAAAATTCATCATTTATGTGCGCTTAAAATGTTTACTAATTTTAAATGATTGTCTTTTCAGCCCTCTTTCAGAGGTATGGCTGAATTTTCAACATAAAATATGGATAACAGTGAAAGCATGCAGTATTTATGTTTCTGTCCCTGGCTTCTTTTAGTTAGCATAGTGTTCTCCAATTCCATCCATGTTATCACAAAAGAGATAAGTTTCTTGTTTTTCAAGGCTAAATTGTATTCCATTGTGTATATATAACACATTTCCTTTTTCTATTCATCTGTAACAGAGTGTAGAATGGTGGTTTCAGCCTGGGGTATGGAGGGAACGGGGAGAAAATGGTCAACTTCTATTATATATTGTGTGGCATGGTGAATATACTTAGTAATAGAGTATGATACATTTCAAAATTGTTCAGTAAATTTTATGTGTTCTCATCACAAAAAATGTAACATATTTGGGGTGATGAATATGTTAACCAGCTTAATTTAATTATTCCACATTATATTCATAAATCATAACATCACTTTGTACTCCATAAAATTATATCATTTTAAGCTGTCAATTTACAATGAAAAAAATAAAAATAAAATAGGATGACATTATCTATTTGGCAGGTGTATGAGTCCTTGTAGTCTTCCATTTCATAGTATTAGAAGAAGAAAGATACTTTCCCAAGTTATGACATAATGTAATCTTTTAGGACATTTCTGTAGAACTGCCACCATGACAATTATTTGTTAAATGCTTGCACAAAAAAAAACAGGAAAATAGCAGAAAGACTTAGTGGTCCTTCTTAATAGGATCAGTGGTGTTCAATTTTGTGTGGTAAGGAGCAGAAGAGAAGTGGAAAACTATTATATGGAATCATTTGGTGTAGCTTGTGTGCATGAAATGCATCAGGTTTTTTTTAAGGTAATATTTGCAAGATTACATTGTATTATGGCCCATTTTACTGGTAACACAGGGTTATTTTGTGCAGCGTAGCTCATTGCTTCAAAAGTAAAGGGCTGGTTTTATTCATCACTGAAGTGGTTTATCTATATCTCCCCTCTTATTCAGTAACTCTAAAATTAAGTTGCATTCATATTCTGTAGTTAAATCCATACTGTGTTAACCTTTGAAGAACATTTTCTCTTAAAATTTGACTTTTGTCAGGAACATGCTTTAATATATTTTATTATATATCTAACTCTTACCACTCTTGTTTAAAATCCTTTTATAATCTTTGTGTACACTATTACATAGTATAGGATCACTTTTTTAAGAAAGAAATTATGGCCGGGTGCGGTGGCTCACGTCTATAATCCCAGCACTTTGGGAGGCTGAGGCTGGCAGGTCACGAGGTCAGGAGATCAAGACCATCCTCGCTAACATGGTGAAACCCTGTCTCTACTAAAAATACAAAAAATTAGCTGGAGGGGTGGCCAGCGCCTGTAGTCCCAGCTACTGAGGCAGGAGAATGGCGTGAACCCGGGAGGTGAAACTTGCAGTGAGCTGAGATCACGCCACTGCACTCCAGTCTGGGTGACAGAGCTAGAGTCTGTCTCAAAAAAAAAAAAAAGAAAGAAAGAAAGAAAAAAAAAAAGAAGGTAATTATGCAATATAATAATTTTAAGTATGAAATGAAATGTTCATTATTCAACATCTAACTAATAAAGTAGAATCTATTTATTTGTCTTACAGATAGATCCTTTTTTTTTTGTTATTTCAGGATTTCAAGAAGGTTCTTCAGAAAAATGTTGTGGCTTATATTAGCCTCCACAGTCCCATAAGGGGGAACTCTAGTCTGTATCCTGTAGCATCACCATCTCTTCAGCAACTGGTAGTAGAGGTAAGACAAACCACTATTGTATCAAATGATTATGCAAAACCGACCTTTTCTCTATATTTTGACATTTCTTGATTTTTTCATTTATTTTTAAATATGCATCAAATGTTGTATAAGTGTTTTAAGAAATGATCTATTGCTGACATTTTATCAATATACCTTAACTAATTTCTTATGTTCTGGAATTCTTCACTTGCTACTCTTTTATGGTCATATTTCTAGAAGACATGAGTCACACAGTTATAGAGAAGGTATACAAAAATATATTTTTAAAAAATATATGAATTTAGCTCTCAAATTCCCAATTCTGTAATCTTGACATTTTATGATAAGCCTGGTTACTTTTGAATTTCTTCCTCTTCATTCTTGTTTTAAGTAAATGTGAGACCTGTCCTATCTTTACAACTGCTGTGTAGGCCCCCCGAGAGCAAGAATATAGTGATAACTAAATTTAAAAGATTTAGAAAATATTGTTTGAAAAATTACCTGTGGAAAAAGAAAACATGTTTTCTTAGTATCCTGAAAAATCATATATTTTTTATGTTTCATTGGAGTTACTTATTTTGAAAATATTTTGTCACTTCTCGCCTAATTTAAAAAATTTAGCAGAACATTTTTTCCTGTTTATTAGTAGAGTTCACACTTTTATTTCTGCATTCTTATTATGAATTTCACTACAGATAAAATATGTGCTATTTCTCATTATGAAAACAATCATACCACAACTTAGGGATGGTTTCCTCTTAGCCTCAATGTCTGTTAATTTATATATTGGAACCAATCTTTCAGATGCCCACAGGACTTTTTGGGGAGTATTGCAGGAACTGAACTAGACAAAGAGAGAGGCAATGAACAGAGCTTTGAATGAGCCATAATTTTTGATTGAAGTGTAATGCAAACTAAACATTTTACAACTTTCATAAAGTATTTTTAGCTTAATAGTTTTTATTGGCATTTCCATATGTAGTACAATAAAGAAGACATTATGAAACATGAAGTAGATAATTCTGTACATTTAAAATCAGCCAATCCCCTGTGTGCATGCCTAAATTATATCCATATCTGTAAGTTAATTTCTCCTGCTCTGTGTACTACTTTGAATTCCTTTACTCCTACCTGCTTGGAAGCCTTGCAAAAGCAAATGAGCCTCGGATGTCTCCCTTGGAAATTTAAGATATTTCTGAATGAGTGGATTATAAGGTAGAAGAAATAGTGATCTCAAGTATCCAGAAATAGAGGAGGGTTGGTTTAAAAATGTGTCATTTTCTTATCGTGTGTGACAAGTTTTATATTTTGAGAATCTTGAAAGATATTTAATCATTGAAATTGATGGGTAAATAGAAATAGTTAATTATTAAGAAGTATTAAATCTACATAATGTTATTTCTGAGAATATAATGCTATTTAAAATATCTTTGCACATCTTATAACAGGACTAAAATATTTCAGTATCTAAACCTAATTATGTGAGAATACAGTATGGTTTCTCAATCACAAGTGATGATTGATGATTCACAAATGATGACGTACATGTCAACATGTACCTCACTTTTTGGAAGAGGAATCTTTTCTGTTCTATAATTGAAAATGTTTGCACACTAACAAATGTAAAAATGAACTGGAATGTGTATAGAAAATATTTTTTTTCTGTTGAGATCGTGTGTCTGTGTATGTATGTGTTCATGTTTCACAGAACAATTTAGAAGGTTAGGAATATCACAACTTCAAGCAAAGGATAGCATTATGTAATTTCAATCAATGGGGATTACTTATATATATATGTCTAATTTTATGGAATGAATATAAATAACTTAATATATATTCTCATACAAAAATTTAATATCACATTTTTAAAAAATTATATATTTTTAAAACTCAAATATATAAAGGTTTATACATTTTATAAACAACTCAAATCTATAAGTGTTAAGAGATACGAAGAAAACAAAACTTTACAGTAATTTACATGATTTAATTAAAACAATTCACCAGTAGTAAAAATTAAAAGAAATACATAAAGCCTTTTTTTGAAATAAAAAAGAACTAAAATGATAACATCCAGAACATATGTAACTTCATTTCCAATACTGAAGATTTTATCAATGATTAAGGACAAAGATATTTCATTAATTTGTTTAGATTTATTTTTCTTTGAGTGTACACACAGTAGTGGGATTGCTGTGTTGAATGGTAGATTTACTGTTAGTTCTTTGAGGAATCTCCATACTGTTTTCCCTAGAGGTTGTACGAATTTACATTCCCACCAACAGCATATAAGCATTCCCTTTTCACCACAATCTATGCCAATATCTGTTTTTTAACTTTTTAATATTGGCCATTGTGGCTGGGGTAAGGTGGTATCTCATTGTGGTTTTTTTATTTGCATTTTTCTGATGATTTGTGAAAAAAGCATATTGACTAAATTGTAAATGACACAAGACTGTATAGAATATCTAATCCTTTGTATAGCAATATGTAGATTACAAAAGATTTCATCAAGTTCATATAATAGATTTAAATACATAAGATGAAATCTTTAAAGTATTATTATGAAATACTGCATTTAATTTTTTATAAGCTAGATACATATAGGATGTTTTAATGGATTACAAGCTTGATATGAAACAAAACTATAAAATGGATGTCCTAAATCAAACACCAGTTTTAAGTACATTTATAGAATGTTATTCAAATCAAGGAGTTGGTAGTCCCACAGTATCTGGTCTATCAGACAACATCTTGATATGATAGTCTTATCGCTCAAGTCACAATTACTGGATATATTGAGGTATAATTCACATACAGTAAGATTCTCCATTCTTCAATGTACAGCTTGATGAATTTTGACAAATGTATATAACCATGTATACACAATCACAATCAAGATATACGGCATCTCTGTCACAGTCACGCTCTCAGCATCACACAACTGCTGCTGGCATTGGGGGGAGGTTTGCCACTAGTGATTCAGGACTGCTTTTCCCTACCTCTTCAGTGCCTTTCAGCAATATGAAGTTAAAACCAAGTACTTTGAGTGCTCACCTTGTATTTGGTTCTTATGAAGGTTTTTTCTTGTGTAGATAGCTGCTAAATTGGTGTCCACTTTGAGTGGAAAATCGGTGGAGCCTTCTATTCCTCCACCTTGCTCTGCCCCAAGTCCCCAGCACCTTATTATAAAGAACATGGTGAACTTACTTTAACCCAGTATTCATATTGAAGGAGCATTATAAACTGTAATTATACATTCTTTCATGCACAAACATTTAAGTACACACACACACACACACACACACTTAGTATTGTATATATTTGTGTATTATATATTATATATTTATTTCTTGATTTATTCTACTGGAGACCTTAGGATGTTCTATAGACATCAGTGGAGTGCCAGCACCTCTGATTGAGTAGAGAATAAGAGATCCTTGCTAAGACCTAATTTCTTGGGGGGATAAAAGCCCTTTTTTGTAATTTTATTTCCATTGACTCCTTAAATGTACAAAAAGATGTACAGGTGAGTGACCTCTTAGTGAAACACAAATGCCTTCATGCAAAGTAGATTATGAAATTAAAGATAAGATTTATCTTCAAATAATAGTTTTAAAATTAAGATGCAAAACAAACACATATGCACCTCTCCCTATATGTTGCTGTTCTGCTCTTAGTTTTCAAAATCATCTTTTCTAGATCACAGAATGTATTGATTTTGCCTTTAGAAAAACATAATTTGGTCATCCATATTTTAGGCAGCATTCTGTAAGTCTTAAGAAAATAGCAATGAAATTTCTAACAGGTTATTTTGGGAAAACCTGCAGCATTTGCACATATGAAAGCAGTCCATCTAGCCATATTCTATTTAAATGTTGCTTTTGCAGCACCTGCCAGAAACTGGCCAACCTGATTAAAACTAAATAATTACATCAGTATTGTAAAACTTTGCAGGGGACAGACAGTGTTTTTTTAATTTAATTTAATTTTAGAGACATAGTCTCACTTTGTCACCCAGGCTGGAATGCAAGTGGTATGATCATAGCTCACTGTAACCTTAAACACCTGAGCTAAAGCAATCCAACACCCTCAGCCTCCCAGGTAGCTAATCCTATAGGCATGCACCACCATGCCCAGCTAATTTCTTAAAAAATAGTTTGTAGAGATGGGGGTCTTGCTGTGTTGCCCAGACTTGTCTCAAACTCCCGGTCTCAAGTGATCTTCCTGCCTTGGCTTCTCAAAGCGCTGGGATTACGGCCATGAGCCACTGCACCCAGCCAAATGTTGTTGTAGTTGTAGTCGTTGTTGTTGTTTTAAGTCTCTGAAACAGTAGCAAAGATATTTTTGTAGTTTCTTCTTTAATTTCCTGTTTTACTTTTTTTATATACAAAGCACCACAAAATGCATACATATATTTCAAGTCAACTACGTTCGTTGGAGTTTTTGAGCTCCTAACTTGTCTATAGTATTATGTCTTCATTGTGAATATCCCGTTTGTTGCAAAGCCTACTGACGTGCTAGATATTTAAAGAGAACCCAAGCTGTGCACAGCATTGCTTTAAGTGTTGTAGGACACAGTAAGCAGATGAAATGCCCCTGTTGCCCAGGAGCTTATAATTTTACCAAGAACTTCAGATGTGCATAAATAGCTAAGATATAAGAGTGAGTGTGATATGTGCTATCCTAGAATTCACAGGAAAGGGAAAATATGATTGGTTTAATTTGGAAACATGCATTATATGACAGTGGCAAAAAACTGAGTGGACTCAGAATCTTAAATTTAGCCATCTGTCTTTTCAAACCTCAATCCTTCAATCAAGTAAAAAACAAACAAACAAAAAACAGTATTTCTCTTCAAATCACAAGAAATAATGCTCATTCCCATTTTCTTGCTCAATTGAGTGCAAAGTTGTTATGCTTCTGCTCTTTTCTTCTTGTGTGAGGGCGACTAAAATGCCACAGCTTTGTCTGCTGAGGTACTTACACAGTTACTTCTCTAACAGCCACTGTATTGTTTTACCTTCTGACTGACCATGCCACAATTCTTTAGGGTATAAAAACAACACGTCTGACATTTTTGCTTGAGTGACTGGAGCCCTGACTTTCAAGTAACAGAGATATTTATTATTTTTGTCTTGACTTTATATTTACATATTCTGGAATAATAAAAATAACAACTAAGTCTTGTAATAAATCTAAATTAAACCTTGTTATACCCTAGAGCTTGCACAAGCTCTTGGATAAGTCAATAGATATTCCCTTGAAACAATACCACTAGGCTATGATTTTAATATTTGAAAGGATTTCCTCAGGTCAGGCATCAGAGAAAAGGCCCACATCATCTTTCTGGGGGCAAACACCAAAACATTGAGAGCTGTGTTCTTGAACACTTGCTGAGAAACAAACAGCAGATAGGTTACCAAATCCAGAATCCTATAAATAGCTTAGAACTTTACAGATGTTTCTTAAACTTCTTTCAGTGTATATATAAATCAATATATAAATGCATCATCAAGCATCTTTTAGAACAGATGTTACTACTTTTCTAAATCTCTTCTAACACTTTCGAACCTGACTCTGTATTGACTGCATTAACACGTCATGGGTGAATTTCAGACTAAAGTCAATTCAGAATGATGATATTTAGCATATTAATTTCCCAAAGAATTATAGAACTTCTTTATTTTATAATTGAAAGCCTGTAACTTTGTTTGGAAAACACCTGCATATTTTACTTTTTAGAGCTGTTGAAAGGGGAAAAGGCCAAATGAATTAAAGTCCTAACCAGAAATCACTTAATTTACTGTACCTTCGTTCCTTTGTCTTCTATTTTTGCTCCATCCTGTTATATCATTTTCATATTTATGTGTTTGTTATTCCAACTTTAACCAAAGACTTCTATCTGCTACTGGATTTTCATAATATGCTTTTGCATATACATGTAGTTACAAATAGTCACTGTGCAAAAAATGTGGAAAACAATGTGAGATGAACAGTCCATGTGTTGCTCTGGGTTTGGATGGCATTACTGCCTCAATAGAGCCATTCAAGGGTTTTTGTTGTTGTTGCTTCATTTTATATTGTTTCACTGGTGACACAATTTAGACTTATTTTTTCCAAACACTCTTTTTTTGGTTACTTGCAACTTTTTTTTCCACAAGAATTGTTGACCGAATATATAGTAGCAGATCACAGAAGGTACAGTGCTAAAATAAAAATAGCTGTCTTCTCACTCCGCTCTTGATGATTTAATTCAGTACTGAAACAAAGCTTAATTTCTTTTCTGCTTCCTGTAAGATATAACAGTACAACTGATGTGGAAACATTCTGTTAACTTGTCTTTCATGACACATGACATAGATTTTTTTGGGTTTTGTTTATATATTTTTGTTTTGTTTAGTTTTTAATGAGAGAAATTCTGTTTTCTTATTTACCATGAATTGCAATTCTTTTCTGGGGGTACTCCTTAATTTATCTTCCTTTCTGCTGGTGGTTTTACTTCTAGTCAACGGAAGCGACCATAAAGACTAATGAACTGATTTAAAACCCTTCTTTACACTGAGTTACCACTTCGATAAAGATTCACATTTAGAATTGTGATTCTATTGGCAGGTTTATCTATCTCCTGAGTTTACAAGGTTTTGCTTTGTGTTAAAACTAATGCATCCCTCCAGTTTACTACTGTTTTACAAGGTTTTCTGTTCAGTATATACTGACAGTATGTAAATCCCTTTTTATTTAGATTTAGATAACAAGAGAAGTCTTAGTGAGATTCTGCTTAAAACTCCAATTTTCAGAAGGCAGCTGATTTATATATTAGGACTATGTAACCAAAAAGAAATCCAAACAATTTGAAACTTGAAATACTATTTAGCTTGAACTCAGCCATCCCGTCATAATTAATATCACATTGTTAAAATGGCTTAAGCTGAGTTACTTTTTGTCTGCAATTTTTTGATTGGTACACTGGACACAGGCCTCTTCAGGACTTGAAAGAGTGACTGTTTACTCAGGACAGGTATTAGTGAATCACTACTGTTGGGAGGTTAGATAAAATTCTGTAACAGTATCATTAATGCAGTACAGTACACTTTTCCATTTAAAATATGAAATTTACTCTGATAAATTGTTGCTCTATTTCCCCCCTTAAACACTGATCAAGTCTTACATGTTTGGGTTAAAAACCTATCATTAATGCTATCAATTAATAATTTACATAACACTACAATAGTGATATTCGTTCTTATGACATATGACAATTTATATAGTATTTTAATGAATAATGAAATAAATTTAAACAGTTTTTTGCTGAACAAAATAATAACCGTCTCAAAAATAAGTACTGGGGTAATTTTATTATCTGTTGTTATGTACTTATCTTTGATAAATTTTATAAATTGTGGATTCTTGGTTTTTGCCATTTCTCTTTTTAAGTTGTAACCTGATTAAACAATTTTGTGTTTGAATGGTTTGCTTGAATCTTTAACAAAATAATTTGATTCAATGAAAGAAAAGGTAATCAATGTAATAATAATGTTAAATAAATAGTTAAACAAACAAATATACCAATGAACTTACTTTGAACAAACATTTCCCAGTGCGCATTATGAAAGGTATACAAAGTAGAACCTTCAGTATGTTATCTTGCATTATAAAGATCCAAAGCTAAATAGAACATGCAGCCTTTTCCAAACTTGTTTTACTCTGGAACATTTTCCTTCAATCATCTTGTGAAAAATGGCCACAGGAATGCTGCTTTAAACAAACCCTATAATATTTAAAATATGAAATTCTACAAAAACGAAGTTTCCAATATCTTCACTTTGATAATGAATTTTTCAAATGTCAAGATCCACAATTTGCATTTTTCAGTGCAAATACACTTTTTCAGAAGCACAACTCTATATACAGTGCTGATAAGGCTTGAAGGCACTGATTACTCCTTCCCTTTGATCTGGAATTTCACCTGCAAATTTATAGCCTTAAGTGTCTTATAACCTGACATGAATCTCTCCATAGTTACTACTACTAACTGTATTTTTAGTTGCAAAATTATAATTTTAAGGTGAGAATTATGAAATAAATTGAGCAGCAGAACATTAAGCTATTTTAATCCTGAAAAAACAGTTCTCCTAAGGGCCATGGATAGTAATTTTATGTATGTCTTCAAGGTTTACAGAAACAATTTCAATTCAGCCTAAGGAAGAATTCTCAGATAGGAAGAATTACCTTCAGGTGCTCAAACACTGCACTGATGTAGGGAAGAGGAAGTGAATATTTTTATGGATGACTGCTTTAGTCAACATTTATTTATAAAGTAATTCATTCATAAATTCATCTTTTATTTGTGTTTGTTTGTTTAGCTTTTATAATATATAAAAGAGCCTATAATTTATTTCTAGGTGCCTCTGGTTTCTAGGCTAAGAGCTTTCATATTTATAGTTTATCTATATTGTGCCTTAACAAATTCTGGCTCTAAATCTACAAGCCATATACGATAAACATTGGTGGAATACAAGAAACCATGAAAATTTTAGGTCTAGTGTTAATGTTTACAACTCTTTTCTGAGACTGTATAACCACATAAACATAGCGCATTGTTGTAGACATATATCAATGGCAACCATCTCATCCACAAGCAACTCTAACTCATTTGTCTTCTGTAATCAATGGTAACTCCAGAAGGAGTTTAAGATGGCAGTAGCCTGGATTGAAATAGACATGATGTAGTGAGGTTTAGGGAGAAAAATCTGTTTTAGAATCATAGCATCAAAAGTAGTATTCTATTCCACAGCACCCTTTTTCAAGTAAAGTAATCCAGAATTATTTACTTTGAAATTTCAGAATCTAAATGAAAGGTATTAATTTATCAATTATGTTTTACATAAAGTTGTCAACCTTGAAATAAAATAGTTTTTTCTGGCTTTATACAGACTTCTAAAATATTAATCAGATTTCAGTAATATTCAGTAGGTAATCATAGGATCCAAAAATAATAAGGTATTGTACAATCCCTAAATAAGGTGGGCTGCTGCTCTAGTTTGATAAAGATTCACAAGGGTGATTGACATTTTCACTTTAACCTAGAATTTAAATAAAAGAACTATGTATATTAGAAAATAGCTCCTTGAGAACTAACATAGCTCCTTTTATTATCTTATCCTGCTCTTTGTAAAAAGTGTATAAACTATACATGGGCAAAAAGAAAAACATAATTCGTCACCTATAATTTTACTATCCAGAGAGAAACACTGAGAACATTTTTTCTTTGTGTAATGCATGCAGATTATGTCGTTACCTAAAGGGAAATGCGATCTGTAATTTTTTCCTTTTAAAATACTATAAGTAGCTGCTATTTTTTAAAAAAGCAGTATTATCATTGGTACATAAGTGAATGTAGATGAACAATATATGGGAATTCATTGTAATATACTTACAACTCTTTTGTAGGTTTGAATTGTTTTTGAAAATAAAAATGGCCAATTAATGTATGTGTATTATTATATAGCTATATTGCCTTTACTAACCAATTCATTTTCTTTAACATTTATATACATTTCAAAGATTTCTTTGTCATTACTAACAATGCCACTGTGTGTGTGTGTGTGTGTGTGTGTGTGTGTATATAGCTGTGTCTACATACTCTTTTCCCTTTTCAATTAGGAAGCTTGGGGAACAAAAAGCTACTGCTTCAAAATGCTGACTCTAGGACCACAGCACCATAAATTGATAGGTATTTGGAGCAACTTCACTCGTGCTGGTGTAAAATGGCGCCATCCCTTGAAAAAATGGTTTGACTATTTTTTATAAAGACAAACATATATCAGTCATATTACTCAACAGTCACAAGTCTAGGTATTTATCCAAGAGAAATGAAAATACATTATACAACAACATACACAAGCATGTTCAGGACAGCTTTATTCATAATAGCCCAAACAACCTAAATGTCTATCAGGAGGAAAACAGATAAATTGTCCCGTGGTTTACTCATATAATGAAATACTACCTAGCAATAAAAAAGAATAGTCTATTGGCAGATACAGCATCATGGGTTAATTGCAAAACCTTGTGACTTGCAAAAGAATCTAGACACAGAACTATATATTATACAATTACATTTATGAAAAGTCCTAGAACTAACCTACGGTAAAAGAAATCGGTATTTACTTCTGGATTGGAGTGCCATTAGATATAAACTTTAATACATGTATATTCAGTGTATCTCCAGAAAAAAATTCATCTTTCAAAAGTTCCAACTCATGCCTAGAGACACAAAAACTTATCATTGCACTGAGGCGAAGCTTACAGTACTATTGGGAAAAAAAATATTAAAAGTTATTCACTTTTCAATAAGAAAAAAATTGGAGAAACTAAAATATACTTATCTAAGGGATACATATTAGCCAACATCCAGAAAAATCTCAGCATGAATGTTAAAGTAATCATTAGATTCTAAGTCTGCTAAAATTACTATAATTTTATATTCAGTGAATTCTTCAGTTTGCACAGGGGGCTCCTTAAATCTGAAGTTTTCAAGAGGCTGCTGTTGACTATTAAATTTCCAATGACCAAGTGTATCTCAAAAGATAAAACCACATAAATTGTTAGCTTCAAATATGGAACCGTAGACTGCAGATGTAGAGATTATTTCATCAAAAGCTTTTTAAGTAACTAAAGCCTTGGTTTATGGTGCGGTCTTTTAATCTGTCAGTGTCTTTAAAAGCATTTATTATTACAATATAACTTCCAGCTCCCTTTGAGAAAATCTTTCATCATGACGTGTAAGTTATCATTTGTATATGTTCAGAAATATCTTCTCAAAAGATCTTCTCATCATGTTCACAATTCACACAGATTTCTAAAAAATAGTTTTTCATACAGACCCATTGCTTCATTAAAAGTAGTTAATTCATGTCTATGTTTTCTCTAACCTACTAATTTTGTTGAGATTATCTCTCCCTTTCAGCTTACAAAATAATAGTAAATTTAGGACACATTAATACTCTATCTGGATAATATTCTGATATTGGTCTGGAAAATTTATGAGGGAAGGATAGTAGAAATTTAACATAATCTTTTGAGATTAACACTTGATACTCTTACTTATTTTCTGGACATTTAGTAATTTCCTTAAACTTTTTACTAGATGTGGGGAATTAACTTTTGTTTGTAAGTGTCCTATCTGCTCATTCCAACAACGTCTTTTGGACAGGAACACCTGTTAGTTGAGTCCACTTCATTCAAATAAACATACCTGTTCCTTAAAATAAACATACCTGAATAAAAGGTCTGAATTTCACAAATGCACAAAATCACTACTTGAGAAATAAACCTACCTAGGGTGTGATACTAATTTAGCAAAACTTTTATATATCAAATTGCTGTGTTATATATAATAACATATATTTTCAACCTCTGTATCCTAATAATTGCATCTTATTCTATTAAAGATATATACAGGAAGTTTATGGAGATATGTTGGAGGAAAAAAGAGTCATTAAGTCTTTAGAAAGCATGCACATAGTAAGCTATGTGCCAGGCATAAAACAGATTTAATTGCAATTGACTTTACTTTTTGGCTTTTTTTTTTTTTTTAACTTTCCTTTTCTCCTTTTCCTGACCCTTTAAACATCTTTTTTCCTGACTTCTTTGCTAATATTTTTTTCTTATTTTTCTATTTATTTTTCTTCCTTTCAAGGTACTTATCAAGTGCTTGTACCTAATATGTCTCCTAATCTATCATTTAATTTTTTTCCACTTCTATTAATATTTTTTTTGTAACTGAATTTGACCTCAAGTCAGCCATGCTCAGGGCTAGAACTTCAATAATGTTTGGTTTTCATAGTCATCTCAAGGGAATGCATTTGGTGTTCAGGACTAGGTTGCAGAGGACCGTTGACTCAAACACAGATGTCCCATGTTAAAAGCAATGGGCTACTGGTTACTGGTTTGGGTAAGAAATTAATTGAATGTGTGCTTGGGTGATTAAAAGTCTCAGCATTGGGTACTGAAAGCAGTGCAGACATTTCACTGAGAAGAATAGAAGGGAAAATAAGTATTAGTTTGACGCAAACGTAATTGCTGGTTTTGCCATTACTAATATTTAGTGAGCATGTGCACCCCAGGTCCTGTACTAAATACATCTTTATATATTATTGATTATTATATTGTTTTCTGGAAGCAGGCTAACCTCACATTTTTTAAGCAGCTAGTCCTGGAAGCAGAGTAAAGTTATGACCAACTGAATCTCTTAGTCAAACAGATAACTAAAGAGCAACACAGTTTAGTAGAAGGACCACTTCAAAGTCAAATACTTTATTTGGGCAAGGGCTGAAATTATAAGAAAAACCATACAGATAAATACCAT
This sequence comes from Homo sapiens, assembly GCF_000001405.40. NCBI lineage: Eukaryota > Metazoa > Chordata > Mammalia > Primates > Hominidae > Homo > Homo sapiens. The sequence continues at coordinate 157,626 of NW_019805489.1, forward strand.
TTACCATGAATAGTGTACCCAGGTGTACCAAAAGTAAAATGTTTCCTCTTACTTTGAAAGTTTATCTGTTAGGAAAACACATTTAGAAAAAAATGTATTAGTTACATTTATAATATATACATATTTGTTAAAACAGTTCACGGTTTATTTGAGCAGCATTATAATCAGTATTTTCAAATCACTGAAAATATCTGTTTTTGAAAGTATCTCTTAAAAGAAATAATTATTTGCGAATGCTATGTAAGTAACATAAATCATGTTTACAAGATACCTTTTAATCATTATAAAATTGCTGTCAACATAGTTAAAATGCCACTGTATGGATATTGTATGTTTCAAACTAAGTATGCTATATAGTCATTTACTGTTGCCATTAATTCTAAGAAAATAACATAAGTCAACTCACTTTCTTTAATAAAGAAAATAAATTATGTTTTAATAATGTCAAAATCATTCTTAAAATACTATAGTAGGGAAGCATTTTATAATGTACCCAGTAAAATATGTACAGGGATATATGTCATTTCACAGACATTTTGTTTATATAAATTGATTTAGTGTTGATTAGACTTGAGGCTAATGAGGCCAAGACTTGCTAAAAGCTGTAGTTAACGACTGCATTATCGATAGCAAATTACATTGGTTAAATTAGCAACCTTACCCAGGAGCATGAACACTTGATCTTTTTTTCTTTGCTTTTTTGTCACATGGAAACAAGAAGTGAAAGCTTGACTATGTGTTTCTCTGTTAAGACAACAGAACTGTTACTTGCTGTTCTTATCAGTGTGCTCTTTGCCTGTGTACACTAGTTTTTAGTGGAAGTATAGCTGCCAGTTGCCTTAATACTTCCTGGGCTTTCCCAACTGTATTGGTTAAGAATGGGTAACAGTAAGAATGCAGGGATCACAAGATTTGTATATGAATGTATATCTAGAAAAAGTGATCCTGGTTTAACAATGTATTGGCTTTGTAATACCTTGACTATTGCTTAACCTCTCTTAGCTTCAGTTTTGTTTCATCTTTCTATAAAATAGGAACAATAATACTCATGTTGTTGCTATGTACTGAATGTTTGTGTTTCCACAAAATTCAAATGTTAAAACCTGATTCCTCAATGTGATGGTGTTTGGAAGTGGGACTTTTGGGAGGTAATTAGCTCATGATGGTGATGCTCACATAATGGGGTCAGAGTCTGAATTAGGTAGGATTCTCCACAGCGACAAAACTAATAGGATATACATATATAGGAAAGGGAGTTTATTAAGGAGAATTCACTCACACGATCACAAGGTATTAGTCCCACAATAGGCTGTCCGTAAGCTGAAGAGCAAGGAAGCCAGTAGTGGCTCAGTGGGAGTCCCAAAACCTCAAAAGTAGGGGAGCTAACCATGCAGCCTTCAGTCTGTGGCTGCAGGTCTGAGAGCCTCTGGAAAACCACTGGTCTAAGTCCAAGAGTCCAAAAGCCACAGAACCTGGAACCTGATGTTCAATGGCAGGAATCATCCAGCAGGGGAGAAAGATGAAGGCTGGAAGACTCAGCAAGTTAGCTTTTCCACCTTCATCTTCCTGCTTTTTCTAGCTACGCTGACAGCCACTGGATGGTGCCCATCCAGATTAAGGCTGGGTCTGGCTCTCCCAGTCCACTGACTCAAATGTTAATCTCCTTTGGCAACACCCTCACAGACACACCCAGAAACAATACTTTGCATCCTTCAATGCAATCATGTTGACACTTAATATTAACCGTCACAGAGCTCTTAGAAGAAGAGACAGGAAAGAACTTGCTTTTCCTCTTTGTTCTCTGCCATGTGAGGATACAATGAAGTGACAGCTATCTGTGGACCAGGAGATGGGCTGACAACAAAACTCTAACCATGTTGGCACCCTGATTTCAGAGTTCCAGCCTTTCAGAACTGTGAGAAATACACATTGGTTGCTCAATCTGCCCAGTTTATGGTATTCTATTATAGCAGCCTGAACTGACTAAGACACTTGTCTTACCTACTTCAAAAAGTTGTTCTGAAAATCAAGAGATTTTGTCAAAAGCAAGTTTAAATATTGCAAAACATATAAACCTTATTTTTCCACTGCAAGACTACATCATATCTGAAGTACAGTCAAAAGGGAATAACATATTACCTTTATCCTGCTCCTCAAAACAGAGTGCAAGTATCCTAGACTTCCCAAATCTCTTTTTCTGGGACGGGACAGGCTAAAAAGAAGGCTCACCTCTAGGACTCATGGAGTCTAATCCTCACTACGTAGTCTCTAGTTCCACTTCCCTTCACTGAAGCTCGTCTCTTAGTGACTCAAAGGACGTTTGTTACCCAGTTAGCATTTCTCTCTCTATTCCTTCAGCAATTTTGGCTTCACCAATGATAAATTTTGTGTTTTGAAACTCCACATTCATACTTCTGACTTCTGTTTTTCGTCATCTTCAGGCTGTGTGTGAACTTACACCCCCAAATCTCTGGAGCTATCATTCTTAAATAGCTTCACAAAGAGAGAGGCCCCACTCGCTCTCTAGAATGAAACTTTTTAAATGTGGCAAAATTTCTCTTGGAGGCTGATTTAGAAACGATATGAGTGCCATAACACAGATTACTATATGAAATGTTTTTTTTTCTTTTCAGTCTTCTGTGCGATATCAGGCACCTTAACTCTCACTCAGTTGTTTAGGACAAAGACCTTGGAGACCTCTTTCACTCCTCTCTTTATCTCATACCACTTGTACATTTCAGTGGGAAGTCCTATTGGCTCTCTGTCAGCCTACAGCCAGGATGCAACTGTATCTTGCCACCTTCTCTCCCTCCACTCTTATCCCATCTAAGATGATTTCAGTAGCCTTTTAACCACTTTCCTCCCCTTTGCCCCATACAACCCATTCTCAGCAAAGTAGCCAGTTATCCTTGAAGACTTAAGTCAGATCATTCTGTGCCCTTTCTCTCATTTCACTTAGAGTAAAAGCCAAAGTCCTTATAATGGCCGGAGAGGCCCTGCAAAACCTGGCCTTCTTACTTGACTGACCCTATCTACTACTCTCCCCTTTGCTCACTCTGTTGCCATTGTGATTTTTCACAGCGAGACCCACCTCATCTACCTTCTGTAATTTGCAATCCCCACTGCACCCAAGCACTACCAAATCCCTTACCCTGTACTATCATAGCACGTATAATATTCTATGTAATCTACTTATTGACTGTTTCTGTCAGTCCCTCCTTCTAGGATGTAAAGCACAGGAGGACACTGAGGCATAGTTGTCTGTTTTGTACTCTGATGTATTCCTGAAACCTAAATGTGTATCTGGTACTTAGTGGGTTCTAAAGTAATTATTCTACAAATGAACATAATTTATTTGCCCATCCAAAGCACTATCCATGAACTAAGAGCAGATTTCTGTGTTTCTTCCTCCAGGAACCTTAGTTCCAGGTTTGATGATTAGTCCTCAGTATATCCACAGAGCTCTTATATGAAGAGAATTCTTCCTCTTCTAACACACATAATAACCTATGAAGATATTAAATATTTTGCCCCTTTCTGGAGTCCAATCCACATATCATTATAAGTTTTCAGAATTATTAGTACAATGTCTTCTTAAATAAATGCAAACAGTGTCTGAACAACTTAATGTAAAGATACATTGTAGTAGAAAAATTTACTTGGAAGACTGTGTGTATGTAGCAGAAAATGTGTCTAATCCAGATATGGTAAGTAACTTCTTGACAAGGCATAGGATGTCTGCCATTCCCAGGTTTGCTAGAAATGCATGTTTTTAAATTATTTCCTTTACTGTATATCTATCAAAGAACTATGTAGTCTGGGAAAGACTGGCACCAATTTAAGTAAGGGGATTAATAGGCCAAAACAAAGCAAACACTACTGAAATGGAAATGCCAAGAGGAAAAGTGACATGATAAAGCTGACATTATTGAAATGGAAAACAGTGTAGAGTTTAATAGCATGAATAGCTGAGATATTCTCTTGTCAGAAAAAACATTGCCCTTCATTGAAATACTTCAACTTTTGTTTAATTCTACATCAAAGATGTTTCTTTGAATGTTTGACATAATTAGTAATTTCTCTTGTTATTCTTTCAAAAGAAATTGAACAAAGATTGTGGGCACACATAATATGAGTTAGAGGACAAGCACGAATTAGTTTGAAGACCTAGACCTTTATTTACTCTAGTGTTGAGTCTAGCTATAATCTAGAACATGTAGACAATATGATGACCAACAAGCATTCTATTACTTGACTAAAATTTGTGGGATATGTTAAGCATTACTCAGAAATAATTTCTATGCCAGCTTTTCCATTTGTCTGGTGTGTAGGTGCTGGGATGTGTGTGTGCACACATACGTGCACATTCATCTATGTGTAAATTAAAACATTCATTAAATGTGATTTTTCTTAAATTTGAATTTTTAAAGTTTCTCTCAAAACCAACAAGTTAATGAGTAATAAAGTGTTTTCCCCCCTCACATGTTCTAATTTTACTTTCAAGTAGATCTGAGGTTAGAGAAACTGAACTGATTGTGAGATTAAATGTTTACCTTTGAGATTGTGCTAAGGCCATACTTCACATGCCTGCTCCATAGAATTCCATTTTTCTACTGATAAGTTATTGGAAAAGGATGCAATAAAACATAAATTTTATGAAAACGTGTTTGTACTTAGACCAGAATCCCTTCCAGGACATCCCCGGCTTGACTAGAAGAGGCTGGAAGATTTAGTCATGTAGAATAACACTATCACTGGTTATAAGCCAGATATATAATAAAAAGCCAATCTGAATAGCTGGTGACAGTGGTTATTGGCATGAGCATGAAATGGCTGATGGATTTCCCTGTGGATGGCAGCCATGGCAGCAGTTGCTGGGGCTTAACAGACCAGGATTTCATCTTAACATCCAGAAATAAAATAAAAACTGCTATTGAGGAAGAATGAAAAATTACGTTTATCAAAGTGATTGCTTTTGTGGATAAGTATTTACGCTGACCCTAAAACTTCAAATAAAACTAAGGGTAGCATAAAAAGATATTACACAAATATTTAGAAAAATATATTAAAGGAATATTTTGACAAGGCAATTAAGTAATACTATTATATTAAAAAAAATTCACACCTATGATCTCAAAGAAGAATGGGTTATAGTTAGGGAAGCATAATGAAAATCAAGCAACATATTTTATTATTTTATATTTGGTTGCATGGATTGATTAATTAAAAATAGTTAAATTGGTATATGGTGTTCATAGCCATGTATAGAATGAAGCCTGTTCTCATTACCCATATTCCAGAATATTAGAAAGGGGAGGAAATGCCACGGCAAACAAATAAGGCAGATGTTTCCTCAAGTCATTCTGATTCAAAAGAGAAAGACCTAAGTTGTTAGCATATGAAATTTTAAAAGCTTGACAATTCTAGATAAAACTTTTCAGTTCTGGATCACTGATCTGAAACCAACAGATGTCATGTCATAAGAAAGTAAAACTCATTACCATAGTGTCTTATGTGAAATAGGGTAATTCTCAGTTATTTTCCCAAGAGTAGAAATGACCATGCATGCTATTAATTTTTAGAAGTAAGCTAAGTTTGCAATTTGTTGAGTGAAAACAATTAAGTTAGATGGGATACACAGTCTTCTACTCCTTGTAGAAGAGACTTCTTTTGAGTCTTCTACTCCAAAACCAAATATACTCTCATTTTAAAAATAAAGCATTATTCCTTATGAAACTACTGTAAGTAGAAGTAATAGTCTCTACATTAGTATATGACAATCGACATTTTTGCTTTTAATCTACTCCCTTTCTTTTAGGAAAGTAACACCTAGATTTTTCTTGGTACCCATACCCTCCTCCGTTTTTAGCCAGATGATATGGGTAGATTGTCCTGACCCTCACTTCTAAAGGTGGGTCCTACTTGACTTAATCATCGCGGCCCATCTCTCTGTCAACAATGATCAGTTCATGGATGGACACATTACAAAAACAGAGCCAATGAGGTAGTGAGATGTTGACTGCCTTTCAGGAAATAGGAGTTTTTCTGTTTCCTTTGAGAGTGCTGGGAAAGATAGCCCTTCTTTGCTGTAATGGTGTGAAGATAGGTCAGAGAGACAGAGAGGTATTAAGTCCTTGATGATAACCTTTAAGTTGCTAGATCAATTCTTGCCCACTTTAGAGTTTCTATTAAGAAAGTAATGAATTCTCTTTATTGTTTTAATGAATCTTTTTCCTCGCTTAAAACATAAGTATCTATTTGTTTTTTTGTTGTTGTTGTTTGTTTGTTTTTGAGACAGAGTCTCACTCTGTCACCCTGGCTGGAGTGCAGTGGCAGGATCTCAGCTCACTGCAAGCTCTGCCTCCCGGGTTCACACCATTCTCCTGCCTCAGCCTCCCGAGTAGCTGGGACTACAGGCACCCGCCACCACGCCTGGCTAGTTTTTTTTTTTTTTTGTATTTTTACTAGAGACATGGTTTCACCGTGTTAGCCAGGATGGTCTTGATCTCCTGACCTCGTGATCTGCCAGTCTCGGCCTCCCAAAGTGCTGGGATTACAGGCGTGAGCCACCGCGCCGGACCATAAGTAACTATTTGTATGGAAAGTACCATCAGAAGCAGGATGGTAGCAATAATAGACCCTAAATGTGGGAGTGGATGAATTGGAAAGTTACAACGAAAGAAAATGGAGATCCCCTCTTCCCCACCAAACAGGGAGGTAGGCAATCCGTGGAACATCATAGCCAAATAGCTGGGTTAATTATTACCTTATAGTTAGGAATTCAAACCAAGACTATGCACTTGAGGTACGAGATTTTAGAAAATTTTAGAATGTTGATATATAATGACTATATCTTATAGCCTTCAAATAAGGTTACTTTGAACAATTGAACACAAGGATGGATAGAGACTTTTTTTAAAACATTTAAATTCCTTTCCAGCAGCAGCATTCAGATAAGTCTGTCCAAGCTCTAAGAACATTCAATGGCTGCCACTTCCAACACCCCAGAGCTGCAACATTTCTTTCTTTTTTTTTTTCTGTCAGGAAATATTTTATTGTCCTATAAAATAGTATTTTATTGTCCTATAAATATAATAAAATAAATATTATTTTATTGTCCTATAAATATAATACAATAAATATTATTTTATTGTTCTATAAAATATTATTGTCCAATTGTTTATTGACTTGAATTTTTTTGTTTTCATTGGATTTTATTTATATTGAATCTATAGTAAATTTTGTCTCCCCACTTTTCAATCTGTGTATTTGTCTTCTGTGCTTATCTAAAGCTTCTTAATAGTTTGTCTTTTGAGTATGCCTTTATGTGTTTTAAATTTTTATATAGTTGAGCTTTTAAACTTTTGCTATTGTTAAGAGACTAACTTTGGGATTAAGTTTGTCACAGCTGAAAGTTTAAAAATCATTCCCGATATATGTTTCTAGTTATTTACTGTTTCATTTATATGAAATTTGATTTTTGAAGAATAGAATTATTTTCCACATTGTTATACTTATTAGTTGTGGACAAGGCACACTGAAATGTACTACACTATAAAATATCCTTATGGAACAAGACTTTCTAACTGGTAGGCCATGCCACCCTGCCACGCTACACATGAGGATTACCTGAGAGGCTATAGAGAGCTTGCAGCTGTCAGCACCTACAATCTATCTCCATCTGTGGGCATACACCAACATTTATAGCAATGATACAAATGTTATCAGTTTTTGTGTGCCATAAAATGGAAAAAAGACTGAGAATCACCTTTTACTAAAATTATGATCGGAATAATTTGCAAATGAAACTCAAAAAAAGACTCAGAAAAAATACTTTTGATATTTTCTGACCTCAGCAAGGTTATCCATTGCTTAGAATGGGTCCACCATGCAAGGTCATAATTGAACCTCTGGGTAAAGCTCTGTAGCAGTTACAAAAGTACAAATATCAGACTTACAAATTGTTCAATACAGGCATATAATAAGAATTTTTTCAAAAGAATTTCCACGGTAAAATGTTCTTTTTAGTTTTGACATGAGAAAATGCTGCCTCTTAATGTGGAATAATACTGTTTATCTCTTACAGTTGAACTCTACATCAAAAGTTTTTCCTTCCACAACTCCTTTTAGTTCAGCATGATTGGACTCAATTGCTGCTCATTCTTTAGTGTATGGAGTAGTCAATCAGGCAGCTCTGAAAAGTGCTGAAATGAAGCCCTTGAAGTTGAATTTGAGGCTTTGAGAGACAGGATACTTTTCATCTGCATTCCCACTTTTATCATTGTCCTTAAAGTATCTTAGAAAGAAAGACATTAAGATATATGGAGTATAAAATGCTAATCAGGTAAGATGATAAGTGCCATTCAAAGGGAGAGATGAAACCCACATAATGGATCTTGATTATGAATATCTGATAGTTGTGCCAACAACTAGTGCCTTTGGCAGGGAAACAGTACCCGGAGCGAAGCCTGTACCCATTTTTCCATGACAATTCCAAGCATTAATAGATCGTTCACATTCATTTAACCCATTATGTAATTCACATACAAGTGAATTACTAAAGCACACACATATTCATATACAAATGTAAATTATATGTGTTCATCTATACGTAAACATCTGTATAGGTATATACATATACAGCTGTGTAAATATTATTCCACTAATTTTAAATAACACCTTTAGAAATAATTACTGGATGATAAGAAAACCATCTAGTCCCCTTTATTTTCATAACTACGTGACTGATATCTAGAACATATGGCTCTTTCTTCCATTAAAAACATCTTCTAGCTCTTTTCACCATTAAGCGTGTTATAAATATGCTTTTATTTACCTGGAAAATAGGTTCATGATACATTTTTAAAGTGAAAAATTATGTTTATAACAGATATTTATGTGTACATATGTTAATGTGCATAACTTATGTACACATATCTTTCTGTATATTTATATTCATATAAATATGTATGTATTTATACATACGTATACACACATATAAATGTTGATAACTAAATGCTGAATGCACTTAAATGATAACAGTGGGGTCATGGAGTTTTTGATGGTTTTCTTCTTATTTCACACTTTCCTCTATTTTCTGAATTTGATAGTAAGCACATTAATTTTATCATCAGAAAATATAATAAATCTTTTTATTTGAGAAAGGAATATGAAGAGCCACTCTTTCTAGCAACCTCGCGTTTGTATAATTTGGATTTACCTTCTCTTGAAAACAAGACTGAAGTTGTCAAAACTGTAGTAAAATAGGGATCATCCAATGCTATAAAAATGTGCTCCCCTCTTAAGGAAACATAATAGGTAAAACATTCATCTCTTACACATGTTAACTATTTACTGCTCAAGTTAATCCAAGCTCAATTCTCATATTACACCAGCTCACCGGAAAGCAACATAAGTTAATCATTTAACTTTGCCCTGCACAATATTTCTTGTACAAAACTTCAGTTGACATTATGCCTGTGAAAACTGCATATTTTAACCAAAAGACAGCTCAAGGCAACTTAACTTTGGTCTGTGTAGCATTTCCCTTACCAAACATTATTATCTATGTCTTTTCCCAAGGGTCGATGTCTATAATAGTCACCGGTATAACAAATGCAACTGTTTTTTCAATCTGCTAGTACAAGTATTGTCATTATGTTGTTTTGCATTTCTTTTTGGATGCCTTATTAAAAACTATTGTCGGAACTCTTAAATAATAGACATACACATACACACAGTGAAAGCTGTACTATCTGTGGAGTCTTCTTATTTCCCTAGGAGCTGGGAAGCTCAGATACCAGTTTGAGAACTAAGTAGGATTAGCTTGGATGTATTGGTGTAATTTCATCCTCTCTATCTTGTTTGTAACATACAAGGCTTAAAAAATGTTGTCTCATGTTAAAAATATTACATACTTCTTGTATACAAATTTTAAAATGAAGAGAAACATGCAAAAAATATAATTGTTTATAAGCTCACCATTTTGGAAATTATACTGTGAGTTTTATCTCAATGTATATTTATTTATATGTATATTTTGCTTCTCATAAACCTTTTACATACTATATATAAACAACCTGATTTTTACTTAATATATTAACTATTTTCCCATGTTATTAATTAATATTCTATAATTTGTGATGTCTACATATTTTGAAGCATTTAAACCATTTTAATTTTTCTGTTACAATATGGTGATAAACATGCATGCATACAGAAGCATTTCTAGCAATTAGAATCCCAGAGTAACAATGTCTGTTTATTTTTAGGAATTTAACACTATGGGAATCTTTAAAATAAACCTGTAGCTTCAGGAGATCAAGGAAATTATACATTCCCTGTCTGACTCGAGTTCCTAGGGAGACTTACAAACTTTCAACAGCTCTGAGATCACTCATAAGCTGGAAATGAATGGAAGGTCAGTTTCTTCAGTTCTAGTTACCAGTATCATCTCAGAGTATAGCATAAGTTCAGTATATTCCGACTCTCCAGAATCCATGCTTTTTCGTTATGAAAAAGCACAGGAAAACTGTTCTACACTGATGTGACTAATACCCACAGGTACCGATTTCCAATCGGTACCTAGGACACGTCTTTAAATACTATGGACCTATCGTCTGCTGTCCCTTACCATCGGGTATCGCAGGCCTTCATACATATATGTGTGCTTTTTTCTCACTGTAGTATTTTGAAGATTTTAAGTACAATATCTTTTTAGTTGGTCTGTCTTTTCCAGAGCAAGAGGCTTTTGATATGCAATGCATATTGTGACTAGAAATCTATAACTGACTTCTCCAAATTCCTTATTTTTTCAAGATTTGCAGTATTTTCTCTCCTGAAATATTCTATTGTCCTGCTTCAGTCTGGAACAATTGCTTACTAAGACTGTTGCACAGTTATCATCCTGGGATTTCTCATTGCTGCTCTTCTGTTTTGGACCATCTGTATAAGCAATCCCATATATATATATATATATATTTTTTTTTAATTTTAGATTATTTCTAGATCATGCTGGAGCACATCAAAGAGTAGCTTCCAAAGTATGCAAATATCATATATTTATTGAATTCTTAAGTGTCCAAACATCTTTAATTTTGCTCCTACCTGTGATTATTAATTTGATTTCATATATAATCTTGGTTGAAAATTATGTTCTGTCAGAATTTTTTGTCATAGGTCTGGTAATATTTTTATTTGTTCAACTTAAGATAAGGCTCACTCCATCCTGCACTATGCCTGATGTTGATGAATGCCAAGTCATTGTACTATGTCCAATTCATTCAGAGAAGAACCTCTGCATGAAACGGGGACTAAGAGTAGCAGAGGTGTTAACTCTTCATGTTTAGACTTTCAACTTACTTCTAGGTTGATGCAAAAGTAATTGCGGTTTTTGCAATTACTTTTGCACCAACCTAATCTTTTCTGAATCATGTTTCACTTTCTTCCTGTGCTGTCAGGGGGCCTTCAAGTTCTGAGGCTGTCTTGAACTTCTGCTTAGTGAATTGAATCTCTTTGCTTGTACCCTCTGCACACACTTTATCGTCATTTCCTTACCCCAGATGAATCATTTACCACTTACTTCCCCATGTTCTATCTCTTCTATTGATGCCTCTTCTCTTCTCCTCTGTGTTTTTGAGAGTCTATAATTGTTTATATTCTACTCTTTTCTTTTTATTTTAATTGTGTCTAAGGAGGAAGGTTAATCACAAATGTGATTAACCTGCCATTTTTTTTTAGAAAACGGTTTTATGTTACTTTCAGTCACCCAAACATTTCATCCAGTGTGCTAGTTAATAGCTGCTCCTAGATTTTACTTCTTCCAATTATATATTTTATTTATGACTCGACAACTTCTTTACATGATGTAACCTAATTCATCCCTCCATTTATTCAAGTGCCATCTACTCTAATGTGACAAAACATGTCTGACACCCATTTGTACCTGTGGCAGACATATTTATACTTGGAAGCCTGTGTCACAGTCATTAATATGAGATAATGCAAATAGTAAGTAAATTTAAATATTAAAACAAGATACAATGTATTTAGATCACAAAATAAGTAGATGCCAGTAAAATTCACACCAGAATTCACAGTTTGTCTGAGATTACAGGTTAAATGTCTTTTGTAATTATAGTTTGTTGAGATTTCAGCAACTTTAAGACTTGTATTATATTTTGCTATTGTTTGTGATTTATCATGTCTTTTAATTTATATTCTATTATATCTTTAAAAGTTAGACAATTTATGTTTATCTTTTTTATTTTAAAAAAATAAATTTTCTCTACCCATATATTTTATATATTATCATTTATATAAAATTATTATTTCAATCAACAAATTAACTTCATCTCCTGGCAAACCAGATGCACACCAATTTCATATTTGGATTCTTTCACTTCATAATGTATTTATATTGAAGCTAACACTATTTTGTTGTGGTGGTGGTTCTTTTTTGATACAGGATCTTACTTTGTCACCCAAGCTAGAGTGCAGTGGTGCTATCACAGCTCACTGCAGCTTTGACCTCCTAGGCTCAGGTGTCTCTCCCACCTCAACCTTCGAGTAGGTGGGACCACAGATGCATGCCACTACACCCAGCTATTTTTTGTGTGGTTTTTTTTTGCAGAGACAGGGTTTTACCATGTTGTCCAGGCTGGTCTTGAACTCTTGGGCTCAAGCGATCCACCTGCCTCGGCCTCCCAAAGTTCTGGGATTACAAGCATGAGCCACCAGGCCTGGCTGATAACACTATTTATTGAACACTTTGTATATGTCAGATGCAGTGCCAAACACTTTACACAGAGTATTTTATTTAATACTCCTTATCACATAAATATTATTATAACTTGACTTTATAGATGATAAATTAAAAACTAAATATTTATATAATTTGTTCAAGATCACACAGACTGTATTAATGGGATACAAACCAAATGGCGTGTAGTGTTTTTAATTTTAATTTTAATTTTTTTAGAGACAGGTTCTCACTCTATTCCCTAGGCTGGAGTGCAGTGACATGACCATAGCTCACTGTAACCTCAAACTTCTGAGCTCAAGAGATCCTCCTGCCTCAGCCTCCCCGAGTAGCTGAGACTTACAGGCACCTGCCACCACAACTGGCTATCAGACAGCTGGTTTTTATAGCTCAGCCCTTAACTAAAACATTATACCTCCTTGTACAAATCAGACACAAAATAAATGTCTGGTAAATAGATGAATGTAAACTTTACTAATCTTTTTCATCCTTAAGAAGTTCAGACATTTGCAGAATCCACTTTTTACAAAATGTGTAATATTTTAATACTTACTAAGTGTGAAAACCTCTACCACAATTTTTTCTTCAGTTGTATTAATTTGCAATCATTCATATAAAATTTCAATTTATACCCCTTTTAGAGCTTTTTGAAAATTGTAAATGTCTAAGGAGTAGTTTCAGGTAGACAATGACCATTAAATCACATGGTTGGAACGAATGACTGACAATAGATAGATTAGCCAAACACTTAATCTAAATTCTCAAGGTCGGTACTGTTCTTTTTTTTATTTTTTTCCTTTGGGTGGATTTTGTGAAAATAGCTAACATATTACAAGGATGATGTTCAACTACTATTTTAGTTAGAAAGTAAAATCTTATTTTTAAAAATGCATATGCAGTATATAAGTGTTGTAATATAGGTGCTGGAGTCAAACAGCATGAGTACAAATCATAACTAAGTTTCAGTTTGTTCCTCTATAAATTGGAGATAAATAGTTTTGTTTTGTTATCAAATGCAATATTGAAAATGCTTGAAAAGCACTTGATATAGTGCCTCTCTCAGAAAAACCACTCAATTAATGTTAGTGTGCATGTAATATTTAGAAAGATGAAAGAAATTGCAATAATTGATAAGTTTCAAGCAGAAATTCAGTAGCTGAAAAATGCAATTTAGTTACTGAAGAATGTATCAGAGTCCCTTACCAGCTGAATTGATCAAACAGAAGAATTAGTGAACTTGAAAACAGACTATTACAGATAGCACAGTCAGAAAGGAGAAAAGAACAGAGAATAAAAACGAATGAAAGAATGCCTACAAAATATAGAAAATAGCCTCAAAAGGACAAATCTAAAAGCTATTGACCTTAAAAAGAAGGTAGTGAGAAAGGTCAGAGTAGAATGTTAATTAAAAGGAATAATATCAGAGAAAATACCAATTTGTACTCTTCAGCGCAGTGTATGAGTGTAAACCAAGAAAGTTTTGATAGGAAGGCAAACAATAAAATATGGAGCCTTAATCCCCAGTCCAAGAAGTCTTTATTAATTTAGGGAAGTGAAAGATTATTGAAAGTATGTCTTGATATTTTACAACCTTGCCTATGACTGACCTAGGTTACCACTCTACTAAGAATAATATTTTGCCTGGAAATAAACTATCTTGGAGTTCATTTGTAGTACCATGTGGGATATAAAGTTCAGGATCTATCTTGAATTAGGCTCATCTGGATTTTTATAGGTGATTTTGCTTTCTAATCTCTACATGACTATTATGAACAGATCTACTTAAGAGTTGGACTTTATATTTAAAAATAATATATGAATTGTCCTTCCTGCTGATTTACATTTTAGGGGCAGTATTTAAAAAGCTATTTGCACCAGAATTGTTTTCCCCCAAAGATTCACATGTTGAAGTCCTAACCCACAGTACCCCAGAATGTGACTGTATTTAGATAGGGTCTTTAAAGAAGTAATTAAGTTAAAAGAAGGTCATTTGTGTGGCAGCCCTAGCAAAGTAATGCAATCATGGTAAAGCACACCTCAGAGATCCTATCTGCATTCTTACATTATTAATTTTACTTAAAACCTTTATTTTCAGTTATTATACTACTTAAATTTACCATGCTATGAATTTCAGGTTATTTTCTCATTTCTGAGAAAGTGCTCAGTATACAGAGGCTACTCTACATACTTATTATGCATTTTCTTTGTATTTCACTGTAGGGTTAATGCAGATTAAAACTAGGTATTTGAGATATGACTCATTATTGGAAAACCCATACCTCAGTGTGTGATAGATTTGTTAATATTCAAAGGGCCTTAGTGCAATGACAGGAATACATACAACTATTTTTACACTGTCTAATTTCCAATTTGTTTTACCGTTTTTCGAATGATTAACATGCTACTAATAAAACTAATAAATTTGCATATAACCAATGAGATTTCACCAAACATTTAAACTTTACTTAGGAACTTAAACACTGAATTCCTTCAACAAGTCTAGCGTAAGAGTCTCTTAATGCTTTAAATTTTTGTTTAAAAATTAAACAAATAAACATATAATTATTTTAAATTACTCTTTTAAATTGGGTACAAAATGTTAAACCTAAGGAATTTTTTTTTTCTGAGCTCTAGTCTTATTCCTGTTTTTAACTTCTGAGGTTTTAGTTCTTAGATCTACTTGGTATTTTTTTGCACCCGACTTAAGTTCTAGGGTTTCAGTATGAATTGTGGGATTTATGCGACAGGTCCGTGATTCGGATTGGAGCCTTACGTGGGCATTTCAAAATTATTCTTTTTGAATCTGTTTCCAGTTGGACAGATCCCACTTATTTAATTTTGCCAATTTCATCAGTTATTGCACAAATTATTGCCTCTTACATATTAGCTGTGTTTTTATTACAGTATTAGTCATTTCCTCAAAATAATACTTGATTTGAGTCTTCTACTTGTAGGAAGCCTGCTATGTATTTTCTTTATTATAAATAGATAAAACCAAGCTTGCAGCTATGGGTCTGAGTAGAGTCTAAAATGGTGCAGGTGAACCTAAAGCTTTTGGCCTCTTTGGTTTGCTAATATTGGAATATTACTTTCTCATAGTCCAAGTAGAGCGTCAATATTGACATCTATATTTATTCCTACTAGCAATAAATCTTATTATATATTCATGATAGTCATATTCACTAACACAAAAATAAATACCGAATGACTACCCCATGCATGACCCTCTGCTAGGAGCTATGGGATACTACAAAGAGAATTATTCTACCTCCTAGAATCATTATCCTTTAGAAATAAGATAATGCGCATACATACATAACTCTAATGCAAGGCAGGGAAAAAATCGCTGCCATTAGTGAAGTCTAGATAATCCAGAATGAGGTATTTTGCAGGGGAGGAATTGCATTTACTTTTGGCTGGAGGAATCTGAGACAATTACCTCAAGTAAGGTATTGAAGTAGAGATGGTAGTTTTTATGTGTAGTGTGGAAAAAAAAATTCTAGGCCAAATCAATAGTAGGCAAAAAGGCACAGAAGTAGAAACATGGATAAGGGCCTTCTTTGGGAGCAGAGAGGTTTGTTTGCTTAGGGAACAAGGAGGATCAGAAGGTGATTTCATTCATTCATTCATCTAGTATACTTCTAATGGGGGCCTCCCATGTATCAGAATGTGTTACACACAAGGGCTACAAAAAACAAGGTAAAATAAAAGCCCTGTGCTCTAGCATTTTACTTTCCATAACTAACAATTATCCTGTGTCAGGCATGCTTAATGTGCTTCTCTATTATCAAGTACTTTAATCTTCTTAACAACATTATGATATGGGTGCTATTATTATCTCCATCTTACAGATGAAGAAAGTGGCGCATAGAGAAATTAAGATACTTAAAAAAATGTACATAGCTAAAAAGTGGCAGATCCCAAATGTGAACTTAAGAATCTGGTTCCAGAGTCTATTCTCATCAACACTACATTTTGCTATATGAAATAGTGCATTGAAAAATAATTCTCTACACACACAGATAGACAGTGAGTGGCTTTGAATGACAAGCCAAGAAGTTTGACCAAATCAAACTGTAATTTAGAATGATAGTTCTGGGAATAGTGAATAAGACTGATCAGAACAGGCAAGTTTTACAAGTGGGTGGCTACTGCTTTACTCTAGATGACAGATGAAGTTTTGAGTTAGGATGGTTTCTGTGATAATACATAGAAGAGGATTTTATAGGGGTAGATTAATCAGGAATTGAATAAGAGAACATGAGTCAGATATAATGGCTTGGGCATCAGTCAGGAGTCCATAGATTACAAGTGACAGGAAGCCAACTCAAACTTGCTTAAACAAAAATGAAAATTTATTGGTTCATATATTTGAATCAAGATATTCTGTCTCTTGCTATTTCTCAGAACTGCTTTCCTTTTATTGGCTTCATGTTCAGGTAGGTTCCATATATGTGGTGGTGAAGGTGGCTCCTGCCACCTCCACAATTATATTACCCTGGAGGTTAAAAGATTGTTATCAAAAGGGAACATCTTTTCCATACGTTTTAGACACACACACACACACACAAAGGCAGCATATGATTCTCATTGGCTCAGTGTAGGTCAGATGTTCACATTTGGAGCTGGAGGTTGGGTCAGCCCCATTTTAATACCTTGGACTGAGAGACAGGGAAGATTTCCAAAAAGAGTGGGTACAAGACAGATAACAAACAGGTAATCACCTCACACAGTTTTGAGCCTTAGTGATTGAAGGTCTGATAAATGTCCTTTATCTGAAATAAGGCACATAGGGAAAAGAGCAATAGCAGGTTTCAGAATAAAAATTAATCACTTTGAGACAAATTAAGTTTGAACACTTGGATAGAAATGACTAGTAGTGAAAAGTTTGAAATTATGAAACTTGAATTTAGGAGAAAGGTAAATGCTAAATATAAAAAATTAAGACTCAAGTGTGTAGAGAGATGATTGCTGTGAACTGTGAACTTTAGTAGTTTTAAGAAAAATGATAGTCACAAATATCAAAAAAAGTTCCAAAGTCAAGTACTATCATGGAAACCAAGAAGTAAGCATTTCAAGAAGGCATGTTAGTCACCAGGATCAAAAGCGATAGTAAGATCAAAAAGGGCTGATTAAAAACACATTGGTCTACATGAACAGCAAATCAATGGAGACTTTGAAGAGAACAATTTCAAGTAAAATAAAAGCACATTGTGGGGAACTAAAGAATAAACAAGGGAGAATAAAGTGGTCATAAATTCCTAGTCAGTCTACTAAATAGCTAGCTATGTGACTATGATGGTTAGTTTTGTTAAAACTTGACTGCACCAGATATTTGGCAAACCATTATCCTGGGTGTGTGTGTGTGTGTGTGTGTGTGTGTCTGTGTGTGTGCATGTGTGTTTGGATGAGATTAACATTTGAATGAGTAGGCTGAGTAAAGCAGATTTTCCTGCCTAATGTATGTAACCCTCATGCAATCAGTTGAAAGGCTGAAAAGAACAAAAAGCCTGACACTGCAACAAATGAGGCAATGCGACAAGTAAGAGTCAGGTTGACACTGCCTCACTGCTTCGATCTGGGACGTCAGTCTTTTCCAGCTTTGAGAATTGAACTGAAACATTGGCTCTTCTTGCTTGAGCCTGATAGCTTTAAGACTGGATCATATACACCATCAGCTCTCTTTGCTTTCAGGCCTTTGGACTTGGACTGGAACTATATCACTTCTCCTGGGTCTCCAGGTAGCCCACTGCATATGTTGGAACTTCACAGCCTCGTTAATTATGAGTCAATTCGTTATAATAAATGTCTCTCTCTCTCTCTCAATCCCAGTATACATACATATATATATTGCTTCTCTGGAGAACCTAAACATCAGGATATGTCTATTCATTCTTGTCCCACCACTGTAGTTTGAACATAGGTTTACAGCTGGAGAGGAATTTTGCCTCATGAATTATACCTCAAATCTCACCCATACAGAAGTTAGATATATTTATTTTTCATTTTAGTTTTTGTAAGAAGACAGGCTTTTTAATGAGATTTTTTTTCTCTTTTTTTTTTTCACCATTATTTTAGGTTCAGGGGTACATATATAGGTTGTTTTATGAGTAAATTTCATGTTGCAGGGGTTTGGTGTAGATTATGTTGTCACCCAGGTAATCTGCATAGTACTGGATAGGTGGTTTTTCAGTCCTCACCTTCCACCCACCATCTACCCTCAAGTAGGCCTTGGTGTCTATTGTTTCCTTCTGTTTGTTCATATGTACTTGATATTTAGCTCCCACTTACAAGTTAGAACTTGGAATATTTAGTTTTCTCCTGCATTAATTTGCATAGGTTAATGGCCTCCAGCTCCATCCATGTTGCTGCAAAGGACATGATCTCATTCTTTTTTATAGCTGTATAGTGTCTCATGGTGTCTGTGTACCACCTTTTCTTTATCCAGTCTACCACCGATGGGTATTTAGGTTGATTCCATGACTTTGCTATTGTGAATAGTGCTGAAATGAACATACATATGCATTGTGTCTTTATGGTAGAACAACTTATATTCATTTGTGTGTATACCCAATAGTAGGATTGCTAGGTGGAATGGTAATTCTGTTTTAAGTTCTTCGAGAAATTGCCAAACCACTTTCCTCAGTGGCTGAACTAATTTACATTGCCACTAGCAATGTGTAAGTGTTCCTCTTTTCTCTACAACCTCACTAGTATGTGTTATTTTTTGACTTCTTAATAATAGCCATTCTGACTGGTATGAGATGGTATCTCATTGTGGTTTTGGTTTGTATTTCTCTAATTATTGAAGTTGAGCATGTTTTCACATGCTTGTTGGCTACACGTGTGTCTTCTTTTGAAAAGTGTCTGTTCATGTCCTTTGCCCACTTTTTCATGGGGTTGTTTGGTTTTTGCTTGCAAATCTGTTTAAGTTCCTTATAGATTCTGGATATGAGACCTTTGTTGGATGCATAGTTTGCAAATATTTTCTCCAATCCTGTAAGTTGTTTGTTTACTCTGTTGATAATTCCTTGTGCTGTGCAGAAGCTCTTCAGTTTAATTAGGCCCTGCTTGTTAATTTTTGTTTTTCTTCCAATTGCTGTTGGTGTCTTCGTCACGAAATTTTTGCCAGGTCCTATGTTCAGAATGATATTTCCTAGATGATCTTTCAAGGTTTTTATAGTTTTAGGTTTTACATTTAAGTCTTTAATGCATTTTGAGTTGATTTCTGTATAAATGTAAAGAATGTTTTAATCTTCTACATATGGCTAGCCAGTTATCCCAATACTTTTTATTGAACAGGGAGTCCTTTCTATTGCTTGCTTTTGTTGAGTTTGTCAAAGAGGACATTTTATCAAAGAGGACACTTTTGACTTTTGTCAAAGAGGGCACTTCAGAGTTGATGCTGGAATTAGTTAAGAATTTCTGGACGGTTGGAATTGAATGAATATATGTTGCATGTGATGACATGAATTTTGGGGGGCCAGGGTGAAATGCCATGGACTGAAATGTATTTCCTCAAAATGTGTAAGTTGAAGCTCTAGCCCCTAATGTGACTCTTTCTGGAGATAGGGTCTATAGGAGGCCATTAAAATGAAATGATGTCATCAGGGTGGGGCCCTAATCTGATAGGATTGTGGCTTTACGAGAAAAGAAAGTTTTCTCTCTTCTTTCTCTCTGTCTCTCTCTGTTTCTCTCTCTCTCTCTCTCTCTCTCTCTCTCTCTCTCTCTCTCTCTCTCTCTCTCTCAGACACAGTGAGAAAGCAGTCATTTGCAGGCCAGCAAGAGACCCTTCACCAGAACCCAACCAATGAGAAAATATTTTTCTGTTGTTTAATCTACTCAGTTTATGAAATTTTGTTATGGCGTCCAAGCTAAGTTAGTGACCATGGACAAAAACTCAAAATCTCTAAATGAAGATAATAGTAGTAATATCTAGCTTAGAGATTTTACTTGAGGTAATGTTCAAAAAATACTTGACAGAATGCCTAGCAATTTACAAGCTCTTGATGAATGTTAGCTATATGTGTGTGGATGACACAATGAGTAGGAAGGATGTGACGGCAGCAAATGTTTAAGATTATTACAAAAATGTTTGACGCTAAGGAAAGTAAAGAGATATATGTGGAACATTATTTGACGTTTCTCTTATTGAGAGATGGATCCCAGTGGCTTCCAATTCCTGTCTCTCAAACTCTGGAGAAAGCCAGTCACCATGTAAAAATCTCCTATTATGCTGAGACTACCATCTGTGAGAAACTCTACCTAGTTACAAAAGAGCCTTGGGAGGCTGAGGCAAGAGGATTGCTTGAGCTCAGGAGTTCAGTGTTGCAGTGAGCTATGATCCTGCCACTGCATCCAGGCTGGGTGGCAAAGCAAGACCCTGTCTCGAGAAAAAAAAAAAAAAAGAGTCTGCCTGAAGACAGAGATGTCAGATCACACATGTGTGACAATGACTTATGTCTCCACAGCCCCAACTACCATCTAACAAAAACTACATGACAGACCCTGAGTAAAATTTTCCCACTAGAACCAAGTCAACCCACAGTCCATAAAGATAAGAAAAAATTATTGTTTTAATCCAGTATGGTTTGTTTCATAGCAAAAGATAAAAAGAATAGACACTACTTGTAGGAATGAAAAAGTCTAGGGACAATGTTGTTGGCTTATTTTTTTTTGTTGACTTTTGGTTTGATTTATTTAGAAAGTAGACCTGAAATGTACGTAAGCTGAGGATTTGAATTCAGAAGAGAGAGAAACTTAAGTTACAAGAAAGCCTTCACATAATGAAAGCAAGGGCCTGGAAAAGACAATAAAAATGTGTTCAAGATCCTAGGGAAAGGAGTTTGTCTTAGCAAGCAAAATAAATACCTCTTCTTCTGAGAAAGAATAAATGAGAAGAGAAAGAGCAAAGTTTGAGGTATAGAGTAAGAACTATAAGAGGTGTAAGATAGAAACAAATTTTCTCCATTCACTTTAGATTCAGCTACCAAAGACTTACATCATTGGATTTTTTAAAAAGCCTCTTGGCCTCTTGAACGGTGTTTCCTTCTCCTTCTGGGTTCTGGTGATTGGTATCACTTCAAGACCAATCAGAAACATGAACACCCAAGGTCTTGAGCAGACCTCAGCAGGCTTTGGGTCATTTACTACCAGATTCCCTTTTGACCTAAGAATTCTGACTACTGCCATCATTACCTTTTTCTGATACCTCAAGACACTAAAATTATGAGCGGTAGCACTTAAAGATTCCTTTAACACAGGTATTTCATTGCTTTTTGCTCAGGTGAAATGGAAAAATAAAATAAAATAAAATAAAAAAACCTTAGCTATGGAGTGGTGCTTCGGCAGAACTGCCAGTTTATCTTCTGCAGTATGTGCCATGTAAACATTTCTGACTTTATTGCACTACACATGCATCATCCCTGAACGTTTAGTTTCATTGCTGCAGAAGTAATTTCCGAAGGTCATCTTATAACGGATGAAAACCTGAAGGTTCATGCAATTTATGTTCATTTTCGATAATATTGTACAACATTTAGGAACTATCATCTTCCACTCTCTAAATGTTTAATCTAATAATTTCAAAGATAAAATATGTTATCTACCTTTTGGAAGCATATACACTTGCTGTGAAAAATCATATTCAGATATAGGTTGAAAAATGTAAACTACTTACTTTTACTTAACAGATTTTAATTCATCTCAGTCACACTTCACTGGACTTAAGATAGTGAGAGACAAAACAGAATATTTCTAGGAGTGTAAAAGTTACAGGAAAGACTTAACCAAATTCAGAAATGTACTTATTTCGTTCAACAATATATAAAGTAGGGGCTTTTTAGATGTAAGCTCTTGGGCTGCTTTTAAATATACTTCATAGATACATGTTAAGCAATAGTCATCATGCATAAATATTCTTGTCATAAAAAATTCTCCATACTTGGTTATTCACATGTTAGAGGTCATAGTTATAAGGTGCTCCTGATACCTTTTAGCCTCACTTGCTATGATGATACCCCCTGTTCACTCTTTCTTCCTTTAGAGGGGGAAATGACATGCACGGGACATGTCAGCCAGCTCTGTCATGAGTAGTCTGACAGTGATGAAACTGAGTACATCTGCTATCAGCCCCTCTGCACATCCTCTTCTCCCACATCCTCAGTCATTCTCTCATCACTAGCTCTTTCCTATTGACCTATAAATGGACAATATTTTTTCCTACCCTTAGGAAAAAAAAAAACCACTCAACACAAAAGGCTAATAAACCTTTCTTTCAACGTTCCCTCTGTCTGTAGATACTGCTCTGTTTCATCCTCTCTTCTTCTCCAGACACCCTAAAGTTGTTTTACTAACAGTGCCTGTTTCTAGGTCTTTGATCTACTCCTCTTCAGATAGTATCCAATTTGCACTTTTGTGCAAAATTTTTGCTCCTGCATTGGAAAAGGTCAGTGGGGACATTTTGGTTCCCATGTCCAGGTGTCTCTTTTCAGCTCTTAACTATCCAGCCTAATCTAAATCTTTCTTATTATTTTGATTATTAGGCATTATTAATTTTTGTTTTTTGAGATGCAGTTTCACTCTTGTTGCCCAGGCTAGAGTGCAATGGTGTGATCTCGGCTCACTGCAGCCCCCGCCTCCCAGGTTCAAGTGATTCTCCTGCCTCAGCCTCCCCAGCAGCTGGGATTACAGGTGCCCGTAACCATGCCGAACTAATTTTTTGTACTTTTAGTAGAGATGGCGTTTCACCATGTTGGCCAGGCTGGTCTTGAACTCCTGACCTCAGGTGATCTGCCCACCTCGGCCTCCCAAAGTGCTGGGATTACAGGCGTGAGCCACTGTGCCTGGCTATTAGGCATTATTAATGCTTTATTTTCCTACTTCAACCATCCAGTTTCTTGCCATCTCTGTATTCATCTCCTAAATATTTCCCCTCCGCACTCATGTACATGCATAAGCCCATGGTTTTGTCCTCAGGTTTTTTCTTCTTTTTCTTCATACTCTGTTAGGTTGTTCTTGCATTGATATAAAGAAATACCTGAGACTGGGTGGTTCCTAAAGAAAAGAGGTTTAATTGGCCCATGGTTCTATTGGCTTTACAGGAAGCATGGTGCTGACATTTGCTCAGCTTCTAAGTAGGCCTCAAGAAGCTTCCAATCATGGCAGAAGGTGAAAGGAGAGCAGGCACATCACATGACAAAGGCAGGAGCAAGTGATAGAGAGTGGGGCAGAGGTGCCATACATTTTTAAACCACCAGATCTCACATGAACTTAGAGCAAGAGCTCACTTATCACCAAGGGGATGACCCAAGTCATTCATGAGGGATCTGCCGCCATGATCCAAATGCCTCCCATCAGGCCCAACCTCCAACAGTGGGGATGATAATTCAACATGAGATTTGGTGGGGACACACATTCCAACTATATCACTCTACTTGGGTGATCTCATTAAATCCTATGGGTGTCGACTACCATCAACACCCCAGGTCACCTGAACCTCTCTTTTTAGTGCCTATTTACCTCCTTAAATATTTCCAAACACCTCAGCTCCTCAGACTTCATGCTCCTCTTCTGTATACTCTCTCAGTTAATGAGTTATCCATTTACTTAATTTAATATCTAGAAATCTACCTATTATCTCATTAACTTGAACTTTATCACCAACATTCTACCATTTTTGACATGCAAAAACAGCAATCTTCATAGTTCTCAACGTAATTGTTTTTATTTTCTTTTCCTCTTGCTTATCTAGCCAGTCACCAAGTCCCATACATTTTACTTCAGAATGCCTCTAAATACATTCATTCTTCTGAGTTTTTAACTTCCACTGCCATAATTCAGACCTCTTAATAGCTTATTTACATTATTGAAATAATATTTTAATTGGTGCTTTTGGGTCTATTATTTCTCATTTTGAAAGTTTTTTGAATATTCACATTACATTGTCTTTAAGATCAGAGGACTATGCGCGATGGCTCATGCCTGTAATCCCAGCACTTTGGGAGGCCGAGGGAGGTAGATCACCCGAGGTCAGGAGTTCAAGACGAGCCTGGTCAACATGGTGAAACCCTATCTCTACTAAAAATACAAAAATTAGCCAGGCCTGCTAGCGCACATCTGTAATCCCAGCTACTCAGGAGGCTGAAGCAGGAGAATCGCTTGAACCCAGGAGACGGACGTTGTAGTGAGCTGAGATTGCACCATTGCATTCCAGCCTGGGTGACAAGAGCAAAACTCCGTGTCAAAAAAAAAAAAGAAAAAAAAAGAATAGAGAACTGCCAACAAAGCCTCTATGTCTTTATGTCTTGCATGTTCCTATACTGTAATATTTCTTTTCAGTATCATGGCACTCATGTCCTAGTTGTTGATAACTGCCACAACTTCAATAGTAGCCATCCTCAGGTGCCCCACAAGACCTGGTCCTACTCAGACTTCCTACCATCAGACTTGCATGAGTAGCTTGCTGGCTCAGGAACATATTTTGCCCTGTAGGGCTTCAGATAGTGATTCCAACGTGAACATCTCTCTTATTCTTCCTCTCTTGGGGATATGTAGCTCATTGTACACATATCACCTGCTCCATGAGATCATAACTGATGTCTTCTCCTTCCACTAACACCATGAGAAAATAAATCACTCCTTTTTTGTGTATATTATAAACAGCTCTATTGTAGTAATGGTCACATTGTATTAATTATAGGTGTTTATTTATTTGAAATTTCTGCTATAGCATTGGCTCTTTTTGTGTCATAGACTAACTACTTAAATGTTAAATGAATTAATTAATAAGCAGATGAGTAAATGAATATGTGTTAGTCCATTCTCCTGCTGCTATAAGGACATGCGAGAGACTGGGTAATTTATAAGGGGAAGAGGTTTAATTGACCCAGAGTGGCGCAGAGCTGGGGAGTCCTCAGGAAACTTACAGTTGTGGCAGAACAGGAAGCAAACACATCCTTTTTCTTTTTTTTCTTATTTTATTTTATTATTATTATACTTTAAGTTTTAGAGTACATGTGCACAACGTGCAGGTTTGTTACATATGTAGACATGTGCCATGCTGGTGTGCTGCACCCATTAACTTGTCATTTAGCATTCGGTATGTCTCCTAAAGCTATCCCTCCCACCTCCCCCCACCCCACAACAGTCCCCAGTGTGATGTTCCTCTTCCTGTGTCCATGTGTTCTCATTGTTCAATTCCCACCTATGAGTGAGAATATGCGGTGTTTGGTTTTTTTTTCTTGCGATAGTTTACTGAGAATGATGATGAGGCCAGCAAGGAGAAGTGTGCGAGCCGAGTGAAAGGGGAAGCCCCTTATAAAACCATCAGATCTCATGAGAACTCACTCACTATCATGAGCTCACTCACTGTATGGGGGAAACTGCCCCCATGATTCAATTACCTCCCACCAGCTCTCTCCTACGATATACAGGGATTATGGGAACTAAAATTCAAGATGAGATTTGGGTGGAGACACAGCCAAATCATATCAGAATAAAAATTGGAGGTCCCTTCTGTGTCTCAGTTTTGTTCATTCCCACATGAATGAGACATGTCAGTTGGCTTTGTCATGATTAGTCTGTCAGCAATGACACCATGATTAGATCTGCAAGTCTCCTAAAAAGAATATTACCACCTGCTGGTTCAGTTGTACCAACTGTTTGGAAATGTTTTAAAAAAATAACTGGTATTTATAATGTGTTTTATAATTTCCAAAGTCTTCCTTTATAAACTACCTCAGTCACTTTTGCAACAACTCCATAAAGTAGGCACTGTTATTGGGAGACACTCAGAGAAGTTAAAGAACTTATTCAAGGACACACAGGAAGACAGGGACAAAACTATGAAATCATCAAGGATTTCATACTTTATCTTGGTATTTGTACTTTGGATTCAGAATGCCTGGATTTAAATCCCAGGTCTCCCACTTAGTAACCCTAAAACCCCTTTCATCACCCCTAAAGTCAGGATGATAGAACTACCTACCTCAAAGGTCCTTGTGAAGAGTAATGGACTTAACATGTCCACAGCTCTTAACAGGGTGCCTCTCATATACTTAGTACTCTACAAATGTTATTTGTTACTATGGTGATGATGTTATCGGTCCTCTCTATAAAAGAGGTACTGGACTGGTAGCCTAGATAGAATATCTCTCTCAACAATTAATTTAAGAGGCTAAATTCATAAAAGTATGTAAGTCCGGGCAATATCACAGATGATAGTAAGATAGTAAAAGTCAAATAGATGCATAGTTAGTGATTGGAACCACCAATCACTCCTGCAGTGGTCGTTCCTAGATAACCTGACCCAAGCTAATCATAATCTAGTCTCATGAAACTCTTGTGAGAGACTAAGAGCCAATGTCAAGGGCTGAATTGTGTTCTCTCAAAATTTATGTTGAAGCCCTAGTCTCTAGTACCTCAGAATATGATTCTATTTAGAGATAGGACCTTTGTAAAGAGCTGATTAAGTTAAAATGAGGCTGTCAGCCTAGGTTCTAATTCAATCTGACTGATGTCCTTATAAGCAGAGGAATTTGGACATACAAAGAAAGAACAGGGATGCACATGCACAAAGGAAGGGCCACGTGGCAATACAGTAAGAAGAGAGCCATCTGCAAGCCAGGAAGAAATGCCCCAGAAGAGACCAAACCTGTGAACATGTTGATCTTGGACGACTAGTCTCCAAAACTGTAAGAAAATACATTTCTGTTGTTTAAGCCACCCACTGTGTGGTATTTCTTAATACAGCCATGGCAAATAAATACAGAGACTCTCACTCATTGTTATCCCACAGTTTAGTCAGGTGGTAACTAATGTGTGGAAAGATTTAGTGACTTGCACCAGATCACACAGATTCTGACAGAGCCATAAACATGCCAATTCTACCTCAGGGATAGAGTTTGCGCTTCTGCATTAAATGCATTCAAATGCAGTAGGAAATTCCAAGTGTGAGGAACTACTATGCAAAGAGCTAGTCCTTGTTACTTACAATCATACTTTAACCTAGGGTATGTTCAATTTTGTCTAGATTATGCTTCAATCAATAGTCCTGTCTACTAATTGGCTTAAGAAACAGGTTCCTAGGCTGGGCATGGTGCCTAATGCCTGTAATTCCAGCAATTTGGGAGGCTGAGGTAGAGGATCGCTTTGAGCCAGTGAGTTAGAGACCAGCCTGAGCAACATAGTGTGACCCCCATCTCTATGAAAAAAATTGAAAATTAACTTGGCATAGCGGTGAGTAGCTGTAGTCCTAATTACTCAGGAGGCTGAGATTGGAGGATTAATTGAGCCCTGGAGGTCAAGGTTTCCTGTGATCCCACTACTATACTCCAGCTTGGGGGCAACACAGTGAGACAGTTTCAAAAACAAAAGAAAGAATGAAAAAAGAAACATGTTTCTTGAACTTCTGGAGCATTTTCATAAGCAATTAAGTCCTATGTTAAATGTGAATGATCCTGGATCAAGTCTGCAGAGGCTGTATCATGGTCAATGATATCACCAATTTAATAAAAGAATAACTGAACTTTTAAATAATTATAATATTAATACATTGAATTTATAAGGCATTGTTAACTGCTCCAAAGCTTTTTATTTCTCCTATTTAAGATTTTATGAGGAAAAGCCAATTCTTAAAAACTATATCCAACTTTATTGGTACTTTATAGAAAGAAAGAAATGAAAACTTCAGGTGATAACAGATCTGCTTTTCCACGATTATTTTTATCATATGAAAGACACAAGATGGAAGATAAAGCAAGAATTTATGGTGGTGGCAATGTGGTGAAAAATGTTCTTGAGTAGGAGCCGAACTACTATACAATTTTCTTGAGAAGACCAGCAGTCTTCCAAATGAGATATTATCTGCTGTCACTTCTCTGAAAAATATAGCACCTGCTTCTGCATGTTTCTTCTTCTCTGAACAGTTCTCCTGGGTGAGACGTGAAAGGCGGCCAGCAGAAGCAAACAATTTGCCTTTGTTTCCTTGGATCAGCAGCCCCTGACCTCACATTCTTTCAAATTCAGAGTTGAGCTGCTATTGTCTAGTTTTCAGAGAGTTCCTCTATTGTTCAGACTTCCCTGTTTGCATTGCAGAGTGAAAAAAACATATTCAGAAGCAACTTTACAAGAAGCTACTCTAAAATATACATGCAGTTATTACTTATTGAACATGCTGTTCTGAGCTCAATGCTGCCCCAGTTTCTGTGTGCTTCTTATTTCAGTTTTTCAGGAAGTAGAAGTGAATAGCAGTGTACACAGTCACAATTCACTCACTTACTTATTTAATGAATATTATTAATGGAACATGTTCATTAAACGTGCAGGGTACAATCCTGGAGACGAAAAGAAAATAAAGATCCTAAAAGAAAAACGGTCTAGACCTGAACTGCTCAACAGTGTAGCCATGAGCCATATGTGGATTTTAAAGTTTAAATTTAAATTAATAAAAATTAAATAAAATGAGACATTGAGTTCCTCAGTCATACTAGCCACTTTTTGCGTGCTCAAAAACCATGTGTCAGTGACTACTCTGCAGAGCAGCATAAAAGAACATTTTCATTATTACTGAAAATTATTTTCTGGTCTAGTGATTAGCATATCCAATAATGTGCATATTCTGATATAGCACAGTTTAATTCTGTTCATGATAGGCAATACTATGGAGCGATCCAACCTATTTTAGCCAAGGTAGGGAAAAAGTAATTGATGAATATATGTAAAAAACAAGCTTTTACATTTATGAAATATGTAAAAGACTGTACATAAAAGATCTTTTATTTGTTCTGTCCTTTCTAAAATGGGAAATATGATTTACAGTGGGCAGTCTAAGGGATGCCAATGTCATAGTACAATAGACAGCAGCGTGTGGCATCTTGGATCCCAAGGACTTCAGAAAGATGTACATTAGTAGCCAATACAGTTATTAAATTATACAAAGGGTCATCAAGCTTTCTCCAAGGTCAAGGAGTCCTGTCATAGTAGGCAAATAAATCTATAATAGGTGGTCAGGCAGACATCTGCCTTTCCAAAGGGTGAGAGGATCAAAAATGTAAATATGGGAGACAAAGCTAGACATAAGAACCAGATGTGAGCAGTGAATCAACCACAGGGCAATCTACATGGATTCCATTGAACAGACAGCTTGCTTTCTCTTCCAAACGTATTGATTACGAGGCTTTACAAGTGACCTCAAGGTCACTCTTTTCCAGAAACAAGATGGGTAACTTTGGGTTGTATAGGGTCATGGTTAAGATTAATGTGGTAAATGCAGCATGATAATTGAATGCTTCTATAACCCTTGTAATTCAATTAATTTCTTAATAAACAGTTGTAGTTATTTTTCTCTCATACTTTTCTTAGTGCACATCTATAAATTCATTACTTGTGGATTTAAATGGTAGGTTATGTTGTTAGACAATGAATATTATCACTAATGTTGGAAAATGTATAGGTTTATTAGAATTTATAATGTATTAACTATAACATAATGAAAGAGAAAATGATAATATTCACTCTGAAAATATGAGGGTTTTCATCACATTTTTCATTGTTTTTATCTTCTTTATGAGTACAAAAGACATTTTAGGGGACATTATGTATGGTTATTTCTGCATTAATCACTACAGTGGTATTATGCCAAATCTCATGAGCTTATCAAATTTGGATTTGTGATCTCGCTCCTTTACCTGTTTCTGTATTATCCTCTCTTCCGGTTGGAATGCACCAAAAGTGCATGTAGGGGAGATATGGAGAAAAGTGCAGGAAACAGTTACAAGCAGCGGTGTGTTGTCTTTGAGAAAGAACTCCTGATAAAATCTGAAATATGGGCCACACAAGCACACAGAGTCTGTGGCAATTATTAAGAGGCACACTAGAGGCAAATAAAAGAAGGAAAACCAGATATAAATGAGAAGTGGAGTTAATACTGAAAGGAATAAAAAAAGTTTCAAATATTAGTTCTGTGTGTATAGACACATGTCAGCAGTTAGGATTTTGATATTTTCTAAGCAGATTCTGCCTGAGTGTCTAGTCTCTATAGCACAGTGTCTCTTCACTGGGGATGAATATCTGAATTACCCATGGAGCTATAATATATGTATAAATCCCTAAGCTCCACCTCCAAGAAATTCTGAGATATGGTAGCTTGTATCCCATTTAGGCCTGTGGAGGCGTCTCTGTTTAAAAGCAAGTGCTTCTTTGCCTACCTCTTGTAGAACTATCAAAGGATTCAATCTGTGTCATGGTGTTTGATCAATTTTCTCTTCTTCAAATCATGTAAGTTCAATTTTTGTGGATTTGTAGAAAGCTAAAGTAATGTTGCAACAACTTGTTCCATTAAAAATAGGCTATAAATTAGAGCAAGAAAATTCTGTCACACAGAAATAGCTAGTATCAAACAGAGCCTGTGGTTTCTGCTGGTAGAGGCCTCAACAAATAGTCTTGCTCATGACTCCTCTGCTTCTTGCCATTTCTCTGCAATCATTGAGAGACTGCCATCCTGCCTTCAGAATACAGCCAAGAAAGGCAATTTAGAGGCTGATGTTTTGATGATGAATCTTATGATTATTGATCCTAGCAATTTGGTATCTAAATTAGCTCAATGTTATTTGTGGAACTGAAAGGAGTAGTGTTCTGTACATGGTCTTAGTTGCAAACAACAAAAGAGAATTCTAGCTAATTTTTGGGAAAAAAAAAAAAAGCATACTGGATAAATACACAACTGCCCAAAGAGTCTTGTTAGAAAGCTGGAGGACCCAGCTCTGAATTAGGCACAAACCAATGAAAGTTGGGCATCAGATAAGCCGGCAAATCAAATCCACTAAGACAGCCTGGCTGGATGGACGTTACAGGCACTGGTACAGCCTGGAACTCTCCAACAGCTTCTCATTGCTGCTGTGAATGATTTCCCAGTTGTTTCTCTATTTTTTTCCTCTCTCATGAGACATAGTTCCAGGAGGGAACCTCTGATCACTAAGGCTATATCATATGCCTGTACCTAAGTGTGAGAGCAAGATGAAATGTGTTTGGTTGCTTCAATTTTTACAGGGGAAAATGCGGCTCTAATGAACATCTTTCACTTCAAAATCCTTTTAAAATAAAGCTGTTTTATTTTAAAATAAATAAAGGAGAGGTATAGTCTTTAGGGAAAACGTTTATGACAGACAATACTCATAATGCCCATTGGCAATTACCATTGACTAAACTGAGCATGTGATACATTTGCCCCTTTGACAGTTAGGAAACAAAGTCTCAAAGCTGCATGGAATGTGTGGTAATTGCTGAGGCCATTTGTAACATTGATTGTTGTCACTAACATGCATAAGAGTTGACTGTAAAGAAACACCAGCAAACAGAAAGTTCTCTAGGACTATGAGATAGCCCTATTGTTTATCTTTTGTTTAAATATTGGCCCATATCTCTTCAGGCTGAGAAGCAGACTTTTACCTTGCTTACATAGGCAAGGAGAAGGTATTGTCTTAGGAGTAGAGAAGAGTTGACATCAAGCTTTAGTGTTTAAGTGTATTGATATGTGTGAGATAAGTGTGTGTGATAAGCTATGCAAACTACTTCGTGATACCAGTGTGATCCAAATGTGCACTGTTAGTTGAGATTTTCTAATTTAAAGGTCGGGGATTCAATAATCAATCCCCTTTCTGAGATTTTAGCCATGAACCTGAAATTTTCAAATAGTAAAGGAAAACTGATATTGGAACAACTTATTTGCCAATTATTGTTTTGAATGCCAGTTAGAAGAAAGAAAATACCGTGAGGAGTATCTTTATATTTTAGAAATGGACACAATTTGAACTATGGATGGCTCTAAATTGCGATCACTTTACTCAATTCATTCTCTGTGGATTGTGAAATTTTATTCAGTTTTAATGATTTCAAATATAGCCATAAGAGGACTCAATATTTTCTTTTAATGAACTTCCCTCCAAAACCTGGACATCTACTTGTTAGTGTCACTTCTGTTAACTCTAAGTTGTTTTTAAGTAATTTTCTTACCATCTCTGTAAGTTTAACTTGCCATACCAGCCTTGCCCACCTTATATGTGCCACTTTTGGAGATGATACAATTGTGTAGCTAATTTTTATGGGCCTGTATCTGTATCTATTTGTCTTTCTAAAATTCTTCAAGAACAACTCTTCTTTCAGTACAATAAAATAGTCTTTAATTTGTGTTTATGTAGTAGTATTTTTAATAACAATTCAATCTTTACCTATTTTAACACATGGGTTGATGACATTGTATCCCAGTCTATGCCCTTTATATTTCTTCCAAAGTTTCTACTCCTAAATACATAATCTTCATAAGACTTATAATGGCTCATATCTGCTCCAATTTATCAGTAGGTGGACAAACATTTCACAGTGGCTTTTACAGTTTTGTAAAAGGATGAGGTCCAACTATGATTTTAAGTGAATAATTATTTTTCATGACATCATGCATTAGTTATCTTTGAATGGTCCTTATTGTTCAACAAGGGCTAAATAAAGATTCAAAATATTTTTTTCTTTATTCATGTCAATTTAGAAAATATTTTTTCTTACATATTTCTGATATACAAGAATATTACAGAATTAAAACTAAATTTTTGACACATATCAATGCATCATATAAATACATTTCATGGCAAATTTGCTATTTGTGTTATTTTCTCCAATTTTAAATTTAAAGATTACTACAATTATTTAATTAATATAGAAAACCAGTTACTAGCCTACAATTAGAATTGACAACAAAACAGGTAATGAAGTGGCATCGTTGTCTGTGGTAAATCCTCGAGGTTCATCATCTCATGCCAAGAAGATTAAGGGCATGGACACACACAAGGAGTGAGTTTAGGAGTAGAGTCTCCATAGGAAAAAGAAAGATAAAGGAAAACGGCTCTCTCTCTTGAGAGAGAGAAGGGCACACAAATGGGAATTCCAGCCCGTGGCGGAGTACACCGGATTTTATAGACAGGCTTGAGGAGGCAGTGTCTGATTTACATAGGGATCGCAGATTGGTTGAACCAGGTGTGATATTTACATAATGCGTGGGGAAGGCTGGCCACCCCACCCTAATCTTGTTATGGAAATGGGCTTTCCACTTGGCCAGTGCCATGTTGTCTGCTTTTTGCTGTACGCGTGGCTGGAAAGGAGGAGAGAAGATGGAGCTGCCGTTTTGAACATGCCTAGTCCCAGATAGCCTTTTCTTAGTGGCACAACTGTCAGCATTCACCCACGCAAACTTCTAGGTTGCTCGTCTATGTTTACATCTCGATTTACAGGCTGCTCTTTGTTAGAAAAGAAAATGATTTTGGGCTGCCTTTCATTAAAAGGAAAATCTTCAGAGGACTTCCTTACCCTCAGTATCTGCCTAAATAATTTCTTCTTAATTCCTGTATCAGTAGGAACTGCATTCATGAGCTTCATCCTCTTTCCTAAATTTTCAAACAACAATTAAACCAGATGGCCTCCCATTCCTAAGACCCATAAGGCAGATCCTAAGCAGGAAGAGCACCTATAATTCTTTACGTCTTCTTTACTCTTATAGCATGTCATTCAGTGTGGCCACACAAATATGTATACATACTGTCTTAGTCCATCTTTTGTTATTTATAACAGAATATATGAAACTGGTTAATTTATTTAAAAGGAAATTAATTGCTTACAGTGCTGGAGGCTGAGAAGTCCAAGGTCATAGGGCCCCATCTGGCAAGAGCCTTCCTGCTGATGGGGACTCTCCAAGTCCCGAGGTGGTACAGGGCATCACATGGTGTGGGGGTCAAACACGCTAGTTCAGGTCTCACTTCCTCTTTTTATAAAGCCACCAGTTCCACTGCCATGATAACCCATTCATCTATTAACCCATGAATAGATTAACCCATTCATGAGGGCAGAACCTTCATGCACTAATCACCTCTTAAAGGTCCCACCTCTCAATACTGCCACAGTGGGGATTAAGTTTCGTAGATCAAAAAATCAACTTACAAAAGGCAGATTAATAGGAAAAAGGTCATACAAATTGTTTTAATATGTATACATAGGAGCCTTCAGAATAAAGACCCAAAGATACAGGGGTAATTATTCATGTTTATGCTTAGGTTCAACAAAGCATTGATAGCTTTGTGGAAATATGATTGAACAAAATGGCTGTGATCTAATGTTAATAGCCTGACTGGGGAACCCAGTATGGCCTATCTGTATAGATTCTTCTTGGCCTCTCTGAGCATGTATTCCTTCCTTCTGGGTATAGAGCAGGGACCCCTCTGGAGTGGGGCTCTTATAACCTACAGACAAACCAAGTAGGTCAGATTTTCTTTATGGCCAATTTGTACTTAGAAAGGCAGAGGGAAAATTAGAATGATATATTTAGGTTTTATATCTGACTTTTAGAAAAGCGGTTCTAGTTTCTCTTACACACTTTAGGGAAGAGAGATTCTAGTTGCTATGGCTAGACTCAGGGGAGAATGGGACTGAGACAGGAGAGCAGGAGGGTGGAGAAAAACTTTTGCTTCTGAGGCTGCCACTGAGGCCTTCATTTTAGGATGCTGTTTTATAAGCCCCAATAGTTTCAACATGGGTTTTGGAAGGGTCATTCAAACCATAGCATGCACACATAAATGGGGGCACACAAATACACATAGAAATATGTCCATTTGCAGAATAGAGACAGACTTGAACACATAAAACAATATATATTTATTGAGTTAATAAATAGAAACATTATGGAGGTGTCCATTAAGAGGTAAATGATCTGACTTGTACATTAATCATGATGATGAAATCCAAATGGTTAGAATGACAAATAAAATTGAATCCACTTAATTCCTATTCACCGAAATAAAAGATAAGGTGTATCACTAGAATGCTATAAAAGAAATTTCCTGTATATACTTTAAAATACTAGAATTATAAAATATTAAAATACAATGCTTCTGGTTACTGTCAGTACAGTTATCCACATTACATTCATATCTTTTCTATTATCTCTGAAACTTTACTATTTTTGACCATTTCACTAGGATACGCAATTAATGACGTCAAATTTCAAATCAATCTGTTTTTATACTTTTTAGTGATTCTGTAGAGGCTTAGTGTTAGAATCTTAGACAAATGAATAAGATGTAATTGAAGACTTATCTGTGGGTTTTAATTATTCTTGCTAATGCTATAGTTTCTATTATAATAGATAATTAAGGGAGACATGTCTTAGTAACAGCACATGTGGAAAGCTCTAGAGATTTTATTTGGCAACAAGCTAAATATGAAACAACAATGCTACATAAGTGTTAATAGGCTAACTTTACCTTAAATTAATAAACTTTATATAAAGGAATAGGGATGGAAGTCACTCAATCTTTCACTATTCTTATTATACCACCTGTGGAGCATTTGCATAAATTCTAAAGAATGCAATTTTTTTTTTTTTTTTTTTTTTTTTTTGAGACGGAGTCTCGCTCTGTCGCCCAGGCCAGACTGCGGACTGCAGTGGTGCAATCTCGGCTCACTGCAAGCTCCGCTTCCCGGGTTCACGCCATTCTCCTGCCTCAGCCTCCCGAGTAGCTGGGACTACAGGCGCCCGCCACCGCGCCCGGCTAATTTTTTGTATTTTTAGTAGAGACGGGGTTTCACCTTGTTAGCCAGGATGGTCTCGATCTCCTGACCTCATGATCCACCCGCCTCGGCCTCCCAAAGTGTTGGGATTACAGGCGTGAGCCACCGCGCCCGGCCCAAGAATGCAATTTAAGATGGCTATATATCCAGAAGAAAGTGAGTAAAATAGTGAATGCATCTGAAATTGCAGGATGTGAAATATAATTGAAGTAACTGATCTGTCAAGCCTAGAGTAAGAACTTAGGATGGATAAGAAATCCTCCCTCACATATGGCAAAGGGATTAGATGTATTCTTATAAATTAAGGAGATATAACAAGGACAAATGCAGAGCATTAGAAGAGAGTGTTTGTTGATTGGCCAAGAAGAGTGAAAAATCCTCTGCCATTTATAGATGTCCAAAAGAAAGAAGAAGAAGAAAACAAAGCCCTACTTTTACGGGTAAAATTAGAATCAAGGATTAGAATCTAAAATTTCGTGTTCTGTTGGTAATTTGAGAGAGAGATGATTGTCTGTCATATAAAAGTTGAATAGTGTCTCCCTTCAGCCCTAGAGAACACAGATTTAGAATGCTTCCAACAAATAAAATCTAAACGTATCAGTTTCATAATATTGACAATGCAAAAATCTGGAAACATTATAAATTAAAAGCTAATATATCTAGTATGATGAAATATCTACAGAGACTTTATTTGTCTCAAGGGAGTATACATTTTTCCCTTTTTTATAATTTTCTGAATATTTAAAGTGAATATGATTTCTTACAATCTGAATAAAATAATAATACTATTTTAACTTGAGACAAAAGAAATGATATTCTATCTTTGGAATGAATCTTGTAGTTAATATTAATTTGTATATTTCTACAGTTCTCAAAATAAATAGATTTTTGTTGTTCAAAATATATACAATTTAATTAGTTCTAACTTTTTTTTTCCAGTGAATAAGCACAATATTCTGCTTTCGATGCTAAGTGGTTAAGTATCTATAGAAGGTGCTTTGGGTTGAATTGTGTTCCCCAGAGAGATATGTTCAAGTCCTAACTCCCAGTACTGATGGATGTTACTTTATTTGGAAATAGTCTTTGCAGATGTAATCAAGTGAAAATGAGGTCATACTGGATTAGGGTGGGCTCTAATCCAATAACTAATGTCCTGGTAGTTAGAGAAATTTTAGACACAGAGACACACACGGAGATGGCCACGTGAAGACAGGGGCAGAGATTAGAGTGATGCTTCTACAAGCTAAGAAGTGCCAAGGATTGCAGGCATCCACCATAAGCTAAAATGAGGCAAGGAAAGATCCTTGCCTAGAGCTTTCAAAGAGAAATGTTGGGATCCAGAACCTGAGACAATGAATGTCAGTTGTTTTAAGCCATGCAGTTTGCAGTGCTTTGTCACATCAGCCCTAGGAAATAAATACGGAAGAAAATTCTTGATGATAGATTTTTATTAAATAGGAAAATTCTCAGGATACTATTAGTAAGAAAAACAATAATCAACATTTTTCTGCTTTTTAACTAAGAAACCAAGTCATTATTTAAAAATGTCTTTCCCATATTATTTTCCTTTAGTGCATGATATGAAGATTGTATTTAATTTTCCTATTAGCTATAAAAACAGTTGATTGAATAATCAAATATTTTAAACTAAAATCTCAATAATTTGGAGATAAACATCTCTAAGTCTTTGCTTTATTCTCTTCTAAGCACATTATTTAAAATTATATTTATTTTACATATATATTGATTTACTATTCTTCACTATAATGTAATTTCATTAGTTGTTTTAATATTGGCTGGTGAATAGAAAATACTAACAAATATTCGTTGAATGCTCCTAATATATGAACATCAGCAGCTTCAGGCTTAGCATATACAGTAGGACAAAAAGTTTCAACTGCCTGGGTTGACTTATGAAGGCCCCACTGAGGTCATGTCCCATACCTGAAATAATATCTGGAGCAGTGAAATGGCGTGCGCTGAAATGGCATGCTCTGGGTTAGTGTGCTTTTCAGTGGAAACAAAAGGTGGGTCAGACTAGTGACATCTCAGTGATCAGAATAGGAGGTGAGATATGAGTTCTCAAATAAAATGTGGTCTGCTCTAAGTAAGATATAGTTGAAAGTTGCTAGTCATGTAAAAACAACAAATCTAACTACAACAGCCTTTGTTAATTAAATACTTTTTCTCATACCTGATCTCACTTCTGATATTGTCTTCTCAGTACACATTTAGTATACAACCTCTAATTTTAATTTAAAACTTGCCTGCTTTCTCCACAAAAAAGTAATCTGAGTTATTTTGATTTTGATTATGGAAATTACTTTTGGTAAACTGTAGTTGGGGAGTCTTTTCTCTCATTTCAGTTATTTCTATCAACAATATTCAATTTCTCTACATATCCCTTAAAATCATCCAACTGTATATAAGGTTCAATTGCAAGAAATAAACATTTATGAAAGTTTTCCTGGAAGACACATAAGCTACCATTCCTTTAAACGAGAAGTTCTTAACCTGGGTACACAGGGAATCCATGAGCCCTGAAAATTACATGTACATTTTTGGTCTACATATGGGATTTTTCTGGTTAAAGAATCCATAGCTTTTGACAGATTCTTAATGGAATCAGCGGTTCTACCAAGTAGTGAAAATTAATTCTCTAGAGACATAGTTATCAAATAGGGGTGATGTTGCCGCCTGGAAACATTTGGCGATTTTATTTAGTTGTAATAACTGGAGAGTCAGGAGTTGTTAGAACTGAGGAGTGGAAGTTATTACTGGCGTCTAATGGATAGAGAGCAGAAATGCTGCTAAATATTCTAAAATGTATCAGACAGTCTTCCACAACACAAATTAATCTTCTTTATAATGTCATTACTAATGTCACAGTTTAGAAACCTTGCTGTAGATAATCTCATATTCTGCCCCTTTCTACCCAAAATTAATACACTATTTAGAAAACTTGCTCTAGATAATCCAATATTCTGCACCTTTCCACCCAAAATTAAGACACATAAACAGTGTTATAAATAAAGTTTTGGTGCCGCAAAAGAAATAGCACTCGAATATAAAATTTTCTTTTTAATCCTCCGCACGGCAAGTTACTTCTCTAGAAGCGAAGCAATGGAGCAATGGTGAGCGTACACTTGGACAAGGGAGGGAAAGGGGTTCTTACCCTGAGGCGTGTGGCCCCTGCTGCTGTGTCCTTCCCCTTTTGTCTAGGGTTAGACCGCACAGGCAAAACTAATTCTGATTGGCTAATTTAAAGAGAGTGACGGAGCGAGTGGTTTGGCAGGAAAAATGGTTATGACAGAGCAGGTAATCGGTATGAGTCAGGGTGGAGCAGGTAATTGAAAAAGTTTGCTTTATGAGGAAGTTAAGTTTAAAAGTAGAAGACAAAGAATTGACATACTGACATATTGATTCTTTGAAAAGAAATTTAGAACTCATATCTAAGTGCAAAATACTTGAACTGCATTCTTTTAGTTTCTCTCTGATTTATTATAGTTCTTGTTTGCTAGCATGATGCTGTCACCCGATTTCAAGGCATGTTTTAAAAAGCTTTCTCTGGAAAGTGATTTTATGTGTTGTGGTGCTGTGAATGGTGCATCCCACACAGGCTTTGTCTTATATACCCACAGGTTTTCTTAGGAAAATCTACGATTTTAGGAAGATCAACTGTGATATGTCTTCAGGATAATTTGAAGTAGAATTGATCTCATTTCTTTTTTGGTTTTGGTCTTTAGGAAGATGTGAATTC